>NC_000010.11:9100909-9252424 GCF_000001405.40 Homo sapiens
CAGGTGAAATCCTGTCTCTGCTTAAAAAAAAAAAAAAAATAATAATAATAATAATAATACAAAAATTAGCTGGGCGTGTTGGCGTGCGCCTGTAGTCCCAGCTATTCGGGAGGCTGAGGCAGGAGAATCGCTTGAACCTGGGAGGCAGAGGTTGTAGTGAGCTGAGATCGGGCCACTGCACTCCAGCCTGAGTGACAGAGCAAGACTCCATCTCAAAACAAAATAAATTAATTAATCAAATTTATTTGTTTTAAGATAATGATTTTTGTCTGCCATTAACTACTATAAGTCAATCCTTTGAAAGACATTTAATTTGATAATACTAATATGCTGACCTAAAACTCAAACTTACCAAGTTTGTTTGATATATTATAATTTACTCATAGTCCAAATTGAGGCTATTTGCATTCTGGGTGTCTTTTTCTGTTTTGCCTCCCTTTGATGATTTTAGGAACTTTACGGTGAATTCATCTCAGAAATACTGCTTCACGATATCCAGCTATAAATCTGAAAGACAGAATCTGAGAAACAGGCCAAGTCTAGAAAGAGGAAGACATACTTAGGGAAATGAACACAAACACTACTGTACCAAATAGAAAATACGCAAGTGCAGATGAGACACACTGCCTTTATCTTCACGTTATTCCACATAGTAAAATGAATTCCAGGTGGTTTATGAGAGTTGCATAAAAAAGTTACACCACAGGAATCATGGAAAAATTTTAAGTAAAGTCTGTATTTATACGTAGGGATATGTATAATTATATAAAGCAAATAAAAGTCCTCTGAATTAGATCTTACTTGTTTAATGTATGAGGAAAATAATACAGTGTTATTTCCTAAAGTAGTTGCATTGTCTGATGCTTGAGGAAGCAATGAGAGATGAAAAATGGGAAATTTTACATGTAATCACTGCAACAACTATGAGTACAACTGAGTATTCATTAGTCTTCCGAGACAGACTTAATGGGTCATGAGAGTTCTAGGAAGTCTGTCTTCTAGGTTGAAAGAGATTATATAGGCATTAATGTTATAATATATTTGCAAGCACATAATTGAAATAAACTGTAACATTTTTAAAAATCACAATTTCTAGAAACAATTATTTGCAAACACATTGATACATTTCATACGTTCTGATAAATGATCACAGTAAAATGTAACAAAGATTATCATGCTAATTTGACAGTTGTGGAAACTGAGGCACAGAAAAACAGACTTTAAAAAAATATATACAAACTGTGCTGCCACATTGGAATATAAATCTCAGCTGTAGATTGACTCCATGAGTCACTCAACACCTTGGTTCAAGCTTAGTGACTCATAAGGGAGGAACACGTGCCTGTAATCTGTAACATGGCAAAGCCTAAGTTCTGCTCCAAATTGTTACGCATTATATTATATGTATCACATATAATTATAGCACAAAACTCTCCCTATGCATCAAATAACTCTTTCAGAATGTCGGTTCAATGAATTACATGTAAATGAATCAAAAACATATGGGTGAAGTTTATCTTGAAATATAGAACTTGACTAAATGTGTTTTGGGTTTTCACCCCCCTCCAAATATCTGAAGGATACTGTCAAACCATTGGCTGGTCTCAAGTGCCTGCTGTGGCCCTTCACAAGAGTTTCCTCACATTGCTAGCATTGGGTACCCTCACTTTTGTTTGTTGCTAACATTCCTTAGTGGTTTGTGGGCACTCATTGAATGCATATGGCATTTAGCAAAACCTATTAAATATGTATCAAAATTGACTAAAGTTAGCATAGAATACATAGTGCCTGAAATACATGGTTTACTATGTGTTTTAAAACCTTAGCTTGCAAAGGACAATGTAGAAACATTAATTGTTCAGTACATTTTTAAAATTATAAAAGTATGACAGCCTGAAATTGTTAAATATTTCAGAAGGTTATGAAGTAAAAATTAAAATACACTCTGGTTCCTTCCAAAGTAACCATTATTAATGTTATCATATATATTAGTAAGTCTGTATATACATTCACACATATGTGAATATTATGCATGTACACTACTTACATGTATATATCATTTTTCCCACAGATATGTATTCTAATTTGGTTTTATTTGTTCACTTAAAAATATGTCACATAGTCTTTGTAATATTATGGACAATATATGGAATTTTATCCCCAGTTTAATGACACATTAACTATAAATCCAGGATGCTGTTTTGCCTAAAGTGTTTTCTTGTAGAAAATCAGAATTATTCAAATTTCAAAGACAAATAAGCCCAATATATAGTGTCCATACAAAAAAAGAATTTTTTAAAAAATGTACTTATTCTCTTGAAGACAAATCTCTGGGCAGAAGGCTGGGTTTATACTAACACTTTTAGATATGTTATGTGATCCATTTCCGAAATGATAATCTGTCCTGAAAACCTTTTTCCTCAATTACGGCAGAAGCTGGCATTCTTTTGCAGTAAAGTCAGCAAATGGGAGAGATTCTGAGAGCCAATCTCTTGGGAACGTGAATTTGGGATTATGTCACCACTTAGCAGAATAACAACACTGATGGGCTGAAATGAATCCCTCTCCTGACAGACTGAACTTTTTAGCCTCTCCATATCAGCCATCTCCCTGTTGTTAGTATACGGTTTCAGTAAAGTAAGAGCAAGTCCAAGTTCAGAAAAAGACCAGACCACAACAACAACAAAAACTTGATAATGAATAATACCAAGTCGTACTTGGCTCCTTTATCAACTAGTGGTGTAAAGTAGTTTTCCTCACTTAATTCCTCAGTGAAAGGATTGCACATTTAATAAATAATGACAGATAAATGGCCCAGGAATGATTTCTTTCTTCAATCTTGGAAATACACGAAAACAAAAGTATGCAAAATAGTATATTACGTGCTTTGAGGACACAGGGATTAAAGAAATGTTATTATTAACATATTTACCTTAATAATTATATAAACAGTTATCTTAATAAATGCCTGTGTTACAATTAAGGGGGCGAAACTTATTTGTCTCTGTTGTTAAATAGTTTAATTAAGCAAATCTCATTACAGAATCGGAGATTCTTTTAGAATTCCATTGTGTTTTAAATGTGAAAAATTCCAGAATCATTAGTAAAGTCTGAAAATGACTACTTAAATATTTGTATAGTATTGATTTATTGAAAATATACAATATATAACTCTGTGATGAATTTTCAAACAATTCAAAATTACTTAACTATTCTCAGAAAAGACAAGTAATCCTGTCTTAATGGCAGATTTATCTGTGCTTCAACCATGTTAATTACACCTTGGATGTGCAATTCTCTACCACACTTCCAGACTTTGTTCTTACTGTTTATTGGTATTACTTATTCAGGCTTATTCTATTCTGTCTAATCATTTTCCCACATTCTCAACAAAACTAGAGTTTTTGAGTCGCAAATTTTTTATTACTTGTGATATCACAATTTTATATATACTTAGTCACTCCTGAAGAAGTTTTTATTAATTTTGTCTATGAATCTCAGTATGTACTTTGATGGCTATATTTTGCAAACAACAAGTATCGTATCTGCCTGTAATTCACAAAACTTACAAAGTGCTTAACTTAAGTCTGAGTAGGTTCTACGCATGTAGTATCTCACTCCCAGTTGTAATCTTTTTAATAATGCAAGCATCTGTTCACTTCTTTGGACACTGGCTGTTTCTCGAGACACTGGCCCTCCGATTGAAGAAATCTAAGAGATTTAACATTCATCTTTATATGCAGAAATCAAATATTTAACCCAAGCATGTTTCATCTTTTATTCTGTTTATGTTTTTTGTCCTTTTTATTATAAGTAATAGCTTTATTTTGTTCTTATTAAGAGAATTTCAGGCAGGAATTACTTAGACTTCTCTGAAAAGTAGTTAGACCTGGCACAGTTGATATATTTAACTGTCTGATATTTATGTATTTAGTCTTATCATACCTCTCATGACCTAGTCACAAAACGGCAATTCAATTTACAGGGAGTTAGGCTAATACCTGTCTATGCTTGTGAGAAAATATAGCCTACATTTTGTGACCTGTCGACCAGGTACCTGAGATTTTAAAAAGTGAAATACTCTATGTTGCACAAAGATACTGTGTGTAAAATGATTCCATTTGTCCTAGTTAAATTGGAAAGTTCTCAGAAGTCAAATTCTCAATTTATAAAATAATAATGATATGTTTCATACTAGGATCTCAAATCACTTAAGTTTATGCTGAAGCTTGTTTGGAATATATATATCATATATATATGATTAATTTCAATAAAATAAATTATACACAAGAAACAGCTCTGTTGAGTGAAACAGATTATTCCATACAACCCAGGTTATTCTCAACAGGCATTAGCTTTTTGATCTCTAGTTTATATAACTTGCTGTCTATACCATTTTGCCATGATTTACTGTTCATATTTTCTTATATTTTGGGGTTTTCAATAGCATGATATCTACCTATAGTTTATCTTAAATTAACATTTCCACATTTTTCTCTCAAAAATAGTGTGGGGCTTAGTTGCTTTATTCATTTTGGCACCACATATTAGAGAATTTAGAGAATAGTACAATTTAAATTAATATGACTAACTACAGGTCAACCTAATAATCCATAAGAGAACTTTCTGTACTACGTTTTTCAACTTTGCCATAAATATACCATAATTAAAAATTTAAAAACATTAAAAATATACAGGTTTAAGGGACTCGATTTTATTCTCAGATTTCTCAAAGACACACACTAGCAATTTAGATATACTTCTTATTTTCATTGTTTGCTACATTGTAGGAAAATAAAAACCCATAAAGAACTACACAACATTTACTTCATAAAGCTTTTGTTTAAAACTTGTTCCTATCTCAATAAAATGATTATAATTGTTGTCTTTACTCACTACTTATCTTTAGTATAAATCCCCTGAAACTATTTTACTGGATTAAAATCTGTACTGTTGTGATAAATCTAGATGAAATAATTTTATTGGAAATATATTAATGTAATGAATTAATGATTAAAATAAACATAATATTTTAATAGAATGGTATTTTTCAGTGAACAAATTATTTGTGTTCCAAATATAAACACCCATAGTGGATCTAGATTTTCATCATTCATTATCTATGAATGGAGAATTTTCTGTTTAAATTTGGTAACCTACTTCTTGGAAATAATGTCATTAAATATGATGTCTACGTGGTTGAATGACAAAGTAACCAACTCTTGGAAACATTGTTTAATTAAACTAAAAAAAGCGTGTGTGTGTGTGTGTGTGTGTGTGTGTGTGTGTGTATGTGTACACACATATAGGTCCCACTCAAATATACATTCATTTGAAGAGATCATTGCCTTCAATTACATTATATGAATGGGTAGTATCAGATAAATTAACAGGTAAGTATGCAGGTAATTGTAATTAAGTAATTTAATTGTAACTTAAATGTAATTTTAACCTAGAAATGCTGATTTCTAAAAGAGAAGTCTTAATCAAATTCTTTCTCTTAACTTTTCAGATGTTCCAAGAACTTATAATCTACTTATTTTCATTAAGATCTGGCATTTGCAAGGTTAGGCCTGTTCTAGACTGAGTCACTGGAGGGTCACTATAATGAGTATGATGTGGATATATTCTTGCTGCTTTCCAAGTACTAAACATGTGTGTTCTATTAATATTCTTTTATAAATACCACTCGTAGCTATTCTCATATGAAACAACAGCAACAATTTATAAATTTTACCATCATGAACTAAGATCCTGAATCTACTAAGAGGCATGAGAAGGAGTGGAAAATTTAGGGGAAGCTGCCCCCATTTGAGAAGCCACTGAGTACGTGAAGAAAAATAGGTTTGGTAGAATGCCCCAATTTTGGAAAGGATAAAGGTCAGGGTTGTGAGTTAGGAGAGAAATGAGGGATGTAGGGAAGGGAGAAGGAGAAATTGAGGGTGAGGTTAAGAAAAATGCATTTGGTTTTGTGTAGACTGGTGGGGACTACAGTTTTGAACTCAAATAAGGGAGTTGTAGCTCTGGAGGGGAACATAAAGATTGAGAAATAGACAAGAGAAGGCTGCAAGAAGGTGAAACCTGCAATCTGGGATTTGGGGGAATGTTCTCCCGATTGCCTGTGACAAGAGCCCAAGATGACTTAAGTCAATTAAAGTTTGTGTGTATTTAAAACTAAGCCAAGCATTAAGGAAATTTACACCACACACACACACACACACACACACACACACACACACACACACACATTCATCCATAGCAAATGTCTAGATAATTAGAAAACAATCTAGGATTTGAATAAATCACATAATTATTTAAGTTAACTTGGAAGTTCCTAGAAGGAATCACGGTATTAAAATGCAAAGTCTTTTTTTAAAAAAGATATATTAAAGGGTTTTGGGAAAAAAATAGTGTTGAATAGTATTGAGTGTGTTTGGGGGAAGAGAATCAGTGGATTGAATGTGCTGGTGAATCCTGAAAGACATTTTTGGCTCAATGAAAAAGAAGGAGATAAGTGAAATAGGCATATGACTGTGAAATCTAATCACTTCAGGACAGAATTCCTTTCAGTAAGTCTTTGTTAAAACAAGCACAGTTAATATGATTGAAAGTGGAGAGTAGGTAAAATGATCAGTGATGTTGAAACTGCTTGTATTCTTTTTGTCCTGGTAAAACCACTTTGGGGAAGGGAAATAAAGATATTTAGAGGATATCATGTATTGAAATTGTGGCCTTTGGGTTGTTTATAAGATTGACCATATAATATTTAAGTGGAATTTGTAGTTAATGATAAGAAAGGATTAATACCTCTCTTCTTTTGATAAGAAAGACATTTTCTCAAGAGTTTCTTCCAGAAGAATTCTTCTTGGGCATGCAAGATTCTGTAATTTATCCATATTATGTATCTCAAGCAGGATTATGCCAAGTGCAAGAAAGAGAAGCATTGACATTTTCTGTCTCAAATAATAGACCCTCATAGAGAAAGGGGTGAATTCTAGGGATCGTGGAACAGCTAGAAAAGCTATAAATCCTCCTTTCTTCCAGAAAGTTGCTCTAAGTTCTTCACTTTTTTTTTCAAGATATCTGGTGACATGAAAGCCACAATTAGATGTGGCTATATTTTATAAGTTGTTGTAATATCTGTGGCTTTTTCTCTTAGCCTTAATAATGCACCCAGGGATGCATGGTGCTGGTGAGAGCTGAAGTGTGCTCTGCAGATTCTGCTCTGGGGATGAGTTGATCTTCATCAAGCAAACAAGTGGGTAAAGGAAGCAGAGAACACTGAATTCTCAACCAGAAGAAAGCAAGTATGCACAGGAAGTATTAAAATTTCACTACCATGTCTTCCTAACACTGAATAGGAGCACAATAATTATGTCTCCCTCACTCCCCATATCTTGTGGGGCACGTCCATGGCTTTTCATGACACTCTCAAAGGGTATGGAACTCCAAAATAGCAAAGAACACTGCCTCTGTTTGACGATTTTAGCATTGTCATTATGTGTTTGAACTTTCAACTATTAGAGGATGTTATTAAATATGTGTAACAATACATTTTACAATTATTAAGACACAGATCATTATCAGACAAAACTCTTACCCAAATGCCATAAGTAAAACTTATTTATAAAGAGCTATGGGATGAAGTAAAGTCATGCATCACTTAATAACAGCGATATATTCTGAGAAACCCATTGTTAGGCAATTTCCTCACATGTGACCATCATAGGGTGTACAGTGCTTAAACAAACCTAGGTACTGGCCGGGCATGGTGGCTCACGCCTGTAAGCCCAGCACTTTGGGAGGCCGAGGCGGGCAGATCACGAGGTCAGGAGATCAAGACCATCCCGGCTAACACAGTGAAACCCCGTCTCTACTAAAAATACAAAAAATTAGCCGGGCATGGTGGCGGGCACCTGTAGTCCCAGCTACTCGGGAGGCTGAGGCAGGAGAATGGTGTGAACCCAGGAGGCGAAGCTTGCAGTGAGCCAAGATTGCACCACCGCACTCCAGCCTGGGCAACAGAGCGAGACTCCTCAAAAAAAAACCAAACAAAACAAAACCAAAACAAAACAAAAAAAAACTAGGTGCTATTGCCTACTACACACCTATGCTACATGATACGGCCTATTGCTCCTAGGCTACAAACCTGTTCAGCATGTTACTGTACTAAATACTGCAGGCGATCATCACATAAATCATTAGGCAATAGGAATTCTTCAGCCCCATTATAATCTTATGAGACCACGGTCATATATACTGTCCGTTGTTGATTAAAAGGTGTTTATGTGGTATATAACTGTGTATTAGCCCAAGCAGACCACTAAATTAAAACAACCAATCTAATCAGCTAGACGACAAATGTGTCCATTAAAAATTACATTGATGAGTTTCATCTGAAAGTATCTCACCTGCTGAGTGGTACTGACAGTCTGCAGATATTCATCCTTGCCACACCCAAAGTCATTTGTTATTATTACTCTTATCATAGAAAATAATTTTCAGTCTAATAGAAATAATGCCACTGTATAGAAAAAATATACAACATAACTTTAAAGTGAAAATGTCATGCAACTCTATTGAAAAACAGCATTTTCTGTTCACTTAGATAATAAGAATGTAACACAAGCAACACCTTTAAATTAGGGAAATAAATACATGTTATCATTCCTTGGAAAATGAAATCAATAACCATTATGTTATTTTTGTAGAATTGAGCTGAAAATATCCATGTTCTCTTTTATGACCTTTATTGGATAATATACCACTAAAAATAAATATCTTAGCTAACTGTGATGCATTTGACAGTCAATTAGAAATCACGAATGGATCATGATATTATGTTAAACCCATCCATGGCCCATTTATGACCATAGTTATTTCATAACATCTTTTCCTAAGTGATTGAAAAGACACATATGTTTAGTCTATTAAGAGAGACAGCAGGCACACTCTGGGAATAGGAGAGAGTTTCAGTTACACCAATTTAGGAGATAACTCTCACCCCGGTCACCACCTCGTCTTTTCTGTTAAGCTGGCTTCAGACTCCAGTATCTAATGGCAGCACGACTCCTCAGAGAGCTTCAGAAGCAAGTGGTAGCTCAGCTACTGACCAGCCCTGGATGTCTGTGACACAGTATCATGTTTCAGGACAACGACACAAATGCTAGTCTCATTTGATGACACAACTGCCTATTTTGTTTATGTGTTATTTCATTTTCTTTTTAAAAATGGCGCAATCTATTTTTCTAACATCTGGGCATACATTTTAAATTATAATAAACAATATAAAATCTTCCCATTCTAATGAGCATGCAAATCAAGCTCTAAAACATGAAGAGAAGGTTCTTTGGACATTTAGTGTTGAGTACACATTTAAGTCAACCAATATTTACTGAGGCAAACTGTCTAAGGCAGTCTGAGAATGAAAAGGAAAGAGAATGGACATTTACTGGATGGGGTGGGTCAGAAAGCATTTTATATATACATGTATATATGTATTTATATATATACGTATATATGTATTTTTCTATATATACTATACATTTATGTGTGTATATATGTGTATGTATATGTATGTATATATGCATGTGTGTATGCATGTGTGTGTGTAAATATATACATACACACACATATATATACGTAGGTTGACCAGCTGCCTTCTGCCAAAACCTTCTTTAGTGAGTTTGCATAGTGAGACCTCAGTGGTCCACAGAACCCCTTGAAGCATCTTCCTGAATACCACTGTGGCCATTAGCAACCATAATCACATTAATGCAATCCTTGCCTGATGTCCTGTGCCCACAAAGTTACAAGAGTTACCTCCTGACAATGGCATTGCAACATTTCTGCCTGGGCGTTTGCACTCACACTCCTGTGTTCTGAGACTGGGCACCCCTCTATGTATACTGTGCAATGGTGGCAAGAGGGTGTTTGTATCCATTTGTAATGTAATTTACACTATAGTTACCAAACGTGTTGCCCAATTTATAGAGGTTTTAGGAAAACCAGTTCTTTATAACTCTCCCCTCGAATTTTCCATCATTTATGAAGCCATAAAAGGCTGAACAAGAACAAAATTTCACCATCGGACATCATGATTTAATCAAAATTATCAATCTCTTCTGATTATAAGGATTTGTTTGGGGCTAGTCTTGTCAGCTTGACACCTTATTTTCTTCAGGATAATTTGAATGAATAAAATTTCACATGAAGGGATTAAATCTCACCTATTAGAGACTAATAAGTGGGTGAAGGTAAATTCAGGGGTTTCTACACGAAAATATGTTATTATCCTATGATAACACCCATGTGAGGAGAAGGCCAACTGGGGTTTGGAGAAAACAAAGAGACTTCCCATATCAATTAAGGGTTGGAGAGACTTCTTCCTATCTAATATATTCATATGGCTTATTTTAGAACTACTTATTTACAGCTTGCAGCAATAAAATTTAAATCATTGAGTTTACAATTTTATTAACACCAGTGGTGAGGAAATCTGAATTACAGGACCAAGTCATGCATTAGGGACTCAACAGACAACTAATTCATAATTTTGTTGATTCAATGTGCAATTTGTTTCCTCCCCTAGATAAAATTTTAATTATTCATTTCTATATAAACTCTGTATTTTAGTAACTGGCAGCAGATATTCACAGCTCTGCAAAGCCACACCCAAAGTAGAAAGTATGTTTGATGGTGCAACAGGTTGCTCTTAAATGTCCTATTTTTCTATCTCATCTAAAGTGTATAAAGTGTTAACACTCTGATAATCTGTTTATTGTCACCTTCGTCACAGATATAACAGATAGTCCATTTATCCTTTAAATTTTTTGAAAAAAGCTAAAAGGTAATTTTTAATACAAGGCTTTGTAAAATACATCTAATAATGAACACTATACCTGATGATTTCACACATTTCTTATCCATTTTAAGAAAATTCTGCAACTATCTTAATGTTTATAAATTTATTTCCAATTGTGTTTGTTAATCAGAGAAGATTTTAAGCAATTATAGCTAATTATAAATCACATTTTACCAGAGTTATCTAATATTGCAGCTTGGTCATTCTGTGTCACAGTAAGATATGTATTAATTATTTCATTCCTCTCTCATCATGACACAGTACAGTCTGAGACCTGGCTTCAGTCACCACTTTCTCACAATAGAATTTCAGAGTAGCTGGAGTTAATTAATTTAGATTTGACTGCAGCTTGAGATCATCCTTTCTAAGCCACCCCTTTACCTAGTCTCGGCAGACCAGTATTACCTCATTTACTGTAACGGCATCCTGGATATAGAGCGCTGGGTATTGTTTCACCTGTTAACCCTCTCCTCTCAGATCTGCTTGAAAACAATCTCCCAACATGCATGTAACTAGTTAGATTTTCTCCCCTACAAGTTCTTTCTCATGGAAATCCTTTCCGAGAAAATAAGCCTGTATGCACAGACAGACACACAGACATATTTTGACAGTATAAAATACTTCAACCTCTCTATGATTTATAAAACTGTGGCCTCCCTGTCTACTGTGTCTTAGAAGCTGACACTATTTCACATTCTTGGGTGCTTCTCTGAACCTGTTATAAAATGCAAACATTTGTCTTTGGAATGTTAACTGTAAATAATTGTTGAGATAAACTTTTACAGGGAAGTTTTTTTTTTTTTCATTACCTGTAACTGCATTTTATACTTTCTCCAAAGAATTCATCCCGCTCTGCAATGTTCCTGGGCAAACAATAAAGCTTTCTAAATGATTGATTGCAATCTGTTTCTCAGAACCACCTATTGAAGTTTCTCTCTCAGCTCTATAGGAGTATTCCACATACCCCCCTTTAAAACACAAATGTTCTCATTCTCTCTCTCTCCATATATACAAAATATGTATTAGATATATTAGATATATATAATATATATAATACATAATATATTAGATATATATAATATATATAATACATAATATATTAGATATATTAGATATACATATTATATATTAGATATATAATATATAGTATATATTAATTAGATATACTATACACTTTATATTATAAACTATAATCACATAATATACACTATATATTATATATAATAGATACACTTTATATTGTATATATTATATATACACATATGCACGGCAGATGTTCACATGCTTAGTAGGAATTAATAATTGTGTTTATGGCTGGGTGCAGTGACTCACACCTGTAATCCCAGCACTTTGGGAGGCCGAGACGGGCGGATCACGAGGTCAGAAGTTCAAGACCAGCCTGACCAATATGATGAAAACCACCTGTAGTGCCAGGTACTCAGGAGGCTGAGGCTCACTTGAACCCGGGAGGCAGAGGTTACAGTGAGCCAAGATTGAGCCACTGCACTGCAGCCTGGGCAACAGATTGAGACTCCATCTCAAAAAATAAATTAAAAAAAATAATTGTGTTTGCAATGATGCTTACGGATCAATTATAGTAGATAAGGGTTGTATTTATACATATAAACTCAAATGATTAAAGATATAGATTTTAACATTATTCTTGCCCCTTTTATTCATTTTCTCATCAAATAAATCAAACACCTGTTATAATTTTTTCTCTTATCCTTTCAAAGATATAAAGCCTGAGGCCACTGTTCCAGCTTCCATAGTGACACATGCAAATCAACCAAAAACTTATGGAGCTTCATCATGGTCATCATTTGGCTGGCATCTATGGTTCCTGAATATTCACAACTCAAATGGGGTTTCTAGTCTTCTATGTCATTTTAGATAATATTTAGATAATATTTTAGATAATATTTTTAGATAATATTTAGATAATATGTTCATCATTTCTTCAATGGGGCATTAACTTTCTGTAAATGTTGTCAGACATCCTTCTATATGTAATATTACCTGGATTTCAGGTATTTTAATGGTACAAGTTTATGATTTCTAAAGAAAATAACAAGCATACCAAGACAGGAAGTGAAGGAAATTTTAAAGCCTCTCTGATCTCCTAATATTTTACATTTTCCAGTAATCTGCAACCAATTGTGATATTTTACTTAGATAAATGATTTCTCATGTTTTCTAATAGGCAGCTGTGTTTACTGGCAAGAGCAACTAGCTGTACTAGCTTTATATGGGAGTTAAAAAGACTACACCTAAACCAACACCTAAATATAATGGTAGCTGGGTTGCTCTAAGGGGAGTAATTAGGGAGTGGAAATGTACTTAACATAGTGTCTGACATGTGACAGATACCAAATGGCTATCTATCTATCTATCTATCTATATGTTTGTTTGTTTTCTTTTTTGTTTTTGTTTTTTTTTTGAGACGGAGTCTGGCTCTGTCGCCCAGGCTGGAGTGCAGTGGCGCAATCTCGGCTCACTGCAAGCTCCACCTCCAAGTTTCAAGCAATTCTCCTGCCTCAGCCTCCCGAGTATCTGGGATTTATAGGTGTGTGCCACCACGTCTGGCTAAATTTTTTTTGTTTTTGTTTTTGTTTTTTTTTTAAGTAGAAACGGGGTTTCACCATGTTGGCCAGGCTGGTCTCAAACTCCTGACCTCCAGTGATCCACCCACCTCAGCCTCCCAAAGTGCTGGGATTATAGTCATGAGCCACCGTGCCTAGCCCCAGTGGCTATATTGTTAAAAGCTGATGTTATACATCTATGGATAATTGATTCAGTATCAGATAACACATATTTCTCAAATCCTATATTTGCATTTTATATCTTAGCAGATATGTTTCTTTATTCTTTTTCCTTCTTTTTTTTTTTTTTTTTGATACAGGGTCTCACTGTTTTGTCCAAGCCAAAGTACAGTGGCATGATCATGGCTCACTGCATTCTCAACTTCCCTGGGCTCAAGCCATCCTCCTACCTCAGCCTCCTGAGTAGCTGTGACCACAGGTGTGCACCACCACTCACAGCTAATTATTTGCATTTTTTGTAGAGACGGGTTTTCACCATGTTGTGTTTCTTATTTTTTGACGTTGTTCTGGTGTATTTTGATTTTCTTTTATTTGTTGGTGCTCTTTGTTTCATTTTCTATATACTGTTAGGTATTTTAAATAAATAGGTATAGGTTATATATAGAGAGAGAAATATAAATAGATACATATCTGTGTGTGTATATATATAATTCTAATATAAATCATGCTATTTAAACAGATAAAATATAAATCTTAAATATAGTAAAGATGTAAATCCCAAGTAATGAAGAATGGCATCTTGTTTCTCCTCTTTGATTTACCTGTCAAAGGTTGTACTCTGAAAAAAAAAAAAAAAAACCCTGACAAAGATATTTGAGTAAAGAAGACATATTTTTCATGAATGAATTTTAATATGATTTTTACCATAATGTCTGCAATTAAATGTTACATGTTTTGTATTTTAAAATCTACATATCAAAAGAGTAATTCCTAGAAACTATAAAGATAATTATTAAGGACAAACAATTTCAATAAAAATAGAAGTAAGAATTGGCATACAACAGAAAGACAGTTACAGGTGCCAAGAATTATATTATAGGCAGGATTTAAACTAAATTGGTTCAATGCTGGGATAAGAAGGCTAATATAGACATAAAAAATAATGAAGTTTGGTAAGGAAATCAGCTTCTAAAATTGCCATCTCAACTTTAAACATCTAGAGTGACCTTATGCCAATGTTCAATTTTATTTAAATATTGTTTTGATCAGAAGCATATGTTTAAAATTTATTTAAAGAAAAATATTTCCAAACATTTTTTGTTTTCATTATCAGAAATAATTTGTCATAAAGCATAAACGTATTTTTCATTTTTGCTAAAACAAATTAAAAACATAAAGACAAACTTGCTATTTTTGTAAAAGTCTCACTCCATATATGAATTTTCAGGAGATTTAATTCAATTTCAAATAGAAGAAGCCAAGCCAAACAGCAGAGAGATGAATATCTGCCAGTCGTAATGACGGACTTCTTATGTGAGGCTTTACCTTTGAGTGCTTCAGGACACTGGCATAACTCGGCACCTTAACTCATGAATGGACAAAGTTTAACTATCATGATCAGTAAATGCTGCACACAACAGATATTTCAGAGCTTCTTAAAACTAAATAACTTAATAGCTAATAGCAACTAAAATCAATTACTAATTTAAAAACAGTAGTATATTTCAATTTTCATTGGTGCTCACTTCCATATTTTTAACTGTCATCATATTGTGAGCTAACTAAATGTGATTAGTGATCATATTCAAATGTTTAAAGAAAATTGTGTAAGAGTTTCAGAGCATAATACTGTTCAAGCATTTCAAACCTGCCTATAAAAAAAAAAGACAAAAACAAAACATATTCTCACTCACAGGTGGGAATTGAACAATGAGAACACATGGACACAGGAAGGGGAACATCACACTCTGGGGACTGTTGTGGGGTGGGGGGAGGGGGGAGGGATAGCATTGGGAGATATACCTAATGCTAGATGATGAGTTAGTGGGTGCAGCGCACCAGCATGGCACATGTATACATATGTAACTAACCTGCACATTGCGCACATGTACCCTAAAACTTAAAGTATAATAATAATAAATAAATAAATAATTTAAAAAACAAAACAGTAACAAAACAGGTCTTCATCTGAACCACATACTATCCTTAAAACACATCATAATTAGGTAGCCAAATGTTGCTTGGGGGATAAAATCAAACTTCCAAAAATTCCTAAAAGCTCTTTGTTCTTTTTTAAAAAAATTCTGAAAATTAATTACGCATGGTTTTCATCTGTTTATGCAAACCATCAGACTGATCTGTGAAAGGGGGTATTTGATCTTCCTTCCTTCCTTCCTTTCTTCTTTTTTTCTTTTTTGAGATGGAATTTTGCTCTTGTTGCCCAGGCTGGAGTGCAATGGCGCGATCTCAGCTCACTGCAACCTCCACCCTCTGGGTTCAAGTCATTCTCCTGTCTCACCCCTACCAAGTAGCTGGGATTACAGATGCCTGCCACCACACCCAGCTAATTTTGTATTTTTAGTAGAGATGGGGTTTCACCATGTTGGTCAGGCTGGTCTCAAACTCCTGACCCCAAGTGATCTGCTTGCCTCAGCCTCCCAAATTGCTAGGATTACAGGATGAGCCACCGTGCCCGGCTTGATATTTCAAAATGTTGAAAAAGTTGTTATTTGAACAAAGAAGCTATACTTGTGTGCAGTGTGTGTGTGCGTGTGTGTGTGTGTATACATGTGGACATGTGTGTACATAGCCTATTTTAAAAAGTAACATATTCTGCTGGGTGCAGTGGCTCATGCCTGTAATCCCAGCCCTTTGGGAGGCCGAGGCGGGTGGATCATGAGGTCAGGAGATCAAGACCATCCTGGCCAAAATGATGAAACCCCGTCTCTACTGAAAATATCAAAATTAGCCAGGCGTGGTGGCAAGGCCTGTAGTCTCAGCTACTCAGGAGGCTGAGGCAGGAGAATCACTTGAACTGGGGAGTCGGAGGTTGCAGTGAGCCGAGATCACACCACTGCACTCCAGCCTGGTGAAAGAGCGAGACTCCGTCCGCCCCCCCACAAAAAAAACAACAAAAACAAGAGTAACATATTCTAAAAACAGAATATACAGAAAGCCTTTAATTAAAATAATTAAAAATTACTCAATTCTAGTAATGAAAGATATTAATATTAACTGTTAATACTTTGATAGATTTCCCAGTATTTATGTAATATATTCTCTCTATATGTTCACTCAGTGTAGTGTGTATCTGTGTATTTGTATGTGTATATGTGTATGTGTCTGTGTATAAATATATAAGTGTATATATATATATATATATACTGTGCATAGGTAGTTATTTTCTTTATCCACAGATTAATACTATAATACTGTATTTACCAAGTTACATAAAGTTTATCATTTAGTTAGTTTACATACTTTAAAATATTTTTACAAATCCCCTAATTTTCCTTACTTTTTTCTCATATATCTATATCATATATATATCATATATATGAGAAAAAAATATGTATATATAGATTGAGAGAGAGAGAGAATGTTCAGATTGAGGACAGTTTTATAGCTGTATTTAAGAATATAGGCTATAGTTTAAACCCATTACAAATGCTGAGTAATAATTTAAGAGATGTTAGAGCTATCTAATAATTTTTTCATATAGTTCAAATTCAAAATTCTTCATAGCTTCACTTACATTTTGGCTGTGAAAATCAAAACCTAAAATAGGAACCAAACGTACTCATATTGGTAATACAGAGCATGTTATTACCCAGAAGTGTTTAAAAGTAACAAGACATGCAATCTGTTTGGCTTGGGATTTCAGCATCTAAATCTGAATGGACCACACTCCCAGCTGTGTGCCCTGCTAGTCACTGATGGTCCCTTAAAGCAGGTGCTGTGATCTGTTAGAATATCACAGAAGAGGCAGGAAAATCGCTTGAACCTGGGAGACAGAGGTTGCAGTGACCTGCGATCACGCCACTACACTCCAGCCTGGGCAACAGAGCGAGACTCCACATCATAAAAAAAAAAAAAAGAGAGAGAGAGAATATCACAGAAGAGCAGATCCACAAGGAACTGGTTGAGTTTTTCTTGCACTTGCTGTGTAGTAAGATTTCCTTATCAGCTTGAAATAATATCCATCATCAGCATGGCTTTACCATGAAACTAAAAATTTCAGATACAAAATAATGTGTTATGTTTATTCATATTTTTCAAAACACAGAATTAATAATAAATGGTTGAAAATTCACTTCTACATAAATTATCAGACTATTCAGAAAAAAGTGTTTCTCAAGCTTTTTTTCTTCAAAAGTAAACTTAAATTTATGAATTATAGGTTATTTATGATCATTAAATAGAACATTTATTCCCGTTCTGACATAATATCACATATTACAGAAGCATAGGAGCCTCCAGGAAAAATTCTGAGACTCATATTAACAGAAATAAGCAGAAATTATTTATTTTACTTAAAGAAAAAGTCATTTTATAATATTGCTTTGGATTTTTATTTCATAATGCTACAGCTTTGACCAGTATAATTTCATATTAAAACATTTATCAAATAAATAGACAGCAGTGTCCCGTGATTCCCAATTTTGGATATCTGTCCTCAGACCTTATCATAATGCTTTCTCTGCTGTATGCGTTAACAACCCCCATCAATTTTCTATACTCGCCCTATAAACTTCAATGTACAGATACAGTTATTTAGCCAGAAAGAACTTCAGTGCACCTAGAGGTGAATAAGCTAAAGGAAACTGAAGAGGGTCAAATATTAAAGAAAAGAGATGACTGGGGAAGATCACTAAAAGCTTTCAAAGGGAATGAATCTTTGCCTACAAAGAGCAAATCAGATTGGCATCAGACTTCTCATCCACAGCACTATGTACAGCCCTCAATATAGGGTTGAATCTATAAGGAAATGTCTTCAAAGCTCTAAGGAAACTTTGTAAACTTATGCTTGAGCAGCATGTTTTAATAGTATAACATTATATCACTTCTGTGGTGCCAGATGCACATCTTGATTTTACAATATATGACGTATCAAGACCTGAGCATTAGTCTTCAACTTTTGGAGTCAATATACACAAAGCACGAAAAGCTTAATTAGGGCGGCAGCATGGAATGTACATAACACAAAGCCTGAGTGTTAGCGTAGGAAACAGAAGTTGGGAGGCGGATTGGGAGGAAAATTACAGAAAAAAGGGATATATTAGGTATATTATTTGCAGTTATAAAACTAGCCAAAGTTTTTTTGTACTTTTTTTTTTACATTTTAAAATGTGACAGAAATTAGAACCTAGAAAAAGAAATATCCCATGTGAATAAGTTATTGTCTTCTCTTTCTTTCTTTCTTTTTTTTTGAGACGGAGTCTCACTCTGTCACCCAAGCTGGAGTGCAGTGGCACAATCTTGGCTCACTGCAACCTCTGCCTCTGGGGTTCAAGCGATTCTTCTGCCTCAGCCTCCTGAGTAGCTGGGACTACAGGCGCATGCCACCATGCCCGGCTAATTTTTGTATTTTTAGTAGACACGGGGTTTCACCATATTGGCCAGGCTGGTCTCAAACTCCTGACCTTGTGATCCGCCAGCCTCGGCCTCCCAAAGTGTCTTATCTTTCAAGAAGAGAAATCAATCAACACTTTTTAAAAAGTTTATTACAGAAAAAAGAGATATATTGTAGCCTAGTCATGAAAGCAACTACAGAAAGAACTAAAAACAAGACGGAAGAGTTGAAAGTGGTTATCTTAGAAATGTAACTGAGGAGGAGAGTTGTAGGGTCTTCACTTACAATTCTAGGTAGATACAAACAAAGAACCAACAATGGTCATTTCCTGGGTGAGACTGAAGAGCCAAATGTCATATGAAACTGACATTCATTCACTCTTTACTTTGTATTATTTTGTTCATTTTTAAGCAAATAAAAATAAAATCCTTTGTAATCACTTTGCAATTAATGAAACCATTGTTGAAACAAATTTTATTAAAATAAAATCATTAGTAAATAATTACAAAAACAAAACAATGAAATTACCACTTAAAGTAAATTCAGGAGTTTCTAGTCTTGGCTTTCCCTCTCACAGTCTTTGATAATGGACAGATAACCTAATCTCTTAAACCTCAATTATTTTTTAAAAATAAGGATATTTATACCACCCTCATACTCTGTATCATCATGAACAGTGATGTGTGATAAATGAAGAGTGTTTAATAAATAGAAGCCTAGGACACATGTAAAGAAAGTCATGGAAAATACAGCCTTTTGGTAAGGAATTATGGCAATAATAATATTTAATTTTGTTTCTCATTTTGTAAGTAGATTCATAGTGTTAATTTGGAAATTTCAAAATTGCTATTATCAAGTGGAGAGCATGGAGTGTTAGATCTTATATTTTAATAAAAAGGAGAGAATAGAGTTTAATTTCTAGCTGTTATATTTAATTACCAAAGGGAACAGAAATTCATAATTTGCTTCCCAAATTCTCTGCTCTTTATTTTACTTTTATTATGTTAGTTTTGTGAAGTATTTTGATCAGGCTCAAGGCTTTTGCTCAGGAATGTGGATTGACATTTGGAGTACAGTGAAGCCTAAGCCTAGTTCAATATCAATTTTACTTCATCTCCAACTTTTTTTTTTTTTTAGACGGAGTCTCGCTCTGTCACCAGGCTGGAGTGCAATGGCACGATCTCTGCTCACTGCAACCTCTGCCTCTCGGGTTCAAGCGATTCTCCTGCCTCAGCCTCCCGAGTAGCTGTCCAGCTAATTTTTGTATTTTTTAGTAGAGGGGGGATTTCATGATGTTGGCCAGGATGGTCTCGATCTCTTGACCTCGTGATCCATCTGCCTCAGCCTCCCAAAGTGGTGGGATTACATGCGTGAGCCATCACGCCCGGTCTCATCTCCAACTTTTATTTAACATTTACAAAACATAATTATCGATAATTTATCAGAACATCTAGATTCAGGTTCCAGCATGGCCATTTGCAAGCTCCATGATTTGGGGGAAAGACATTTAAGCTGTTTTGAATTGAGGGTTCTTCATATTATAACAGAGGGGGGAAAACATGGTGATCTCATCTGCGTCATAGCATTTTACACAGTTTGGATATTTTTCCCTGCCCAAATCTCATGTTGAATTGTAATCCCCAGTGTTAGGGGTGGGACCTGGTGGGAGGTGTTTGGATCCTGGGGGCAGATCCCTCATGGCTAGGTGCTGTCTTGTCCATAATAAGTGAGTTCTCCTGAGATCTGGTTGTTGTAAAGTGTGCCACCTGCCCCCACCCACTCTCTCTCTTGCTCCTTCCCTGCCTTGTGAGATACCTGCTCCCTCTTCACATTCTGCCATGAGTAAAAGCTACCAGAGGCCCCGCAAGAAGCCGAGCAGATGCCGGTGTCATGCTTGCATAGCCTGCAGAACCATGAGCCAAATAAACCTCTTTTCTTTGTCAATTACCCAGCCTCAGATGTTTCCTTACAGCAATGCAAGAATGGCCTAACACAGCATTTTTTGTAAAAGTCAATTATAACAATTCAAAATAATGTCTAAATATAAATTTATATCCAAATATATGATTTCAGAATCTGAATGGTTTTAAATATTCAAGATCTTCATATTACAACAGTGACTATGTCAGAAAAGTATCACACCTTTAGAATCATAAAGGGAATTATTTAGTTGTGGTTACTTTAGCTATTCATGTTATTGCTGTTACAATTGCTTGAGTTCATCTTAGTGGTCTTGGAGGTCTTAAGAGAACACATTGCTTTGAAGATAAGCAGCAAAAGGTATATTTTCTCTATTTCACAGTGTTGCCAATATCTGTAAGGGACTGGCCTCTAAGGTCAGTGGTGTTTATAAAAATATTTTAGCAAGGTTTCTTTCTACATGTTAAGATATAACTATAATCCACATAAATTATGTTTGCCAGGGTGTTAAACTGGGATTTCTGGGTCTTTGAATCTAGCCCCATGTCTTCTCAATACATCTGTGCCTCTGGACCACTCACTTAACTCTTCTGTCTCAGTTTCCTTCCTCATCTGTTAACTGAAAAGCCTACTAAATGATCCAAAGTTTATTTTACCTTAAAAAATATCTTTTTCTGTAATACTTAGTTTCACATCATAAATAATCTTATCTTAGGTCATATCGTATATTTCAATTTATGCCTAAGAGAAAGAACCAAGCTAAATTAAAACAGCTGGAGATTCCATTAATCTAACATATATCTTAATAATTTCAGATTCAAGCTGCTAATTCTGCCATTAGAGTTAAAATTTCAAAAAAAAGATAAATCCATCAGAGACAATTAATTAAAATGGAGCAGATACAGGGTTAACGAAACTCTATAAATCAAATGGCCTCTTACTTTCCCTTAGAAACAAATAAATTACTTTTTCAGAGTACAACCCCTACTTTTTTAAGTAGTGTCAAATGTAATTTTTTTTTGGAGATCTCATTAAGCACTTTAGGAGAAATTCCTGGTGATATTGTTGACCAAACAAAGCCAGACTTTACTGTCCTTTTATGAGCTTTGCCATTGGTCAACTGTATATGCAAGATCACTCTTCTTGATATTTATCAGGTAACAATAGGTAATACACTTTCTGACATAAAATAAGAAAATCACCTTTGGTTTCTGACTTGGGCTTCAAATTTTTAGGAAGAGGGAGGTACAAAAGAAAGATGTCTGGAAGAAGCCTTTAGAAAGAACAGGACTATTTCATAATACTCTCTCTTGTTTAGGGCAATTTATGGATTTAACCTTCTCTTTGATATTTTCACCCAGAAAAAAAGTTATAATGAAAGTTTCTCCACTGAGATGTTTTTTGGATTATTTGTGTGATGTTAAAAATGTACGCTATGCACATTAAATCTTAAATCCTTATCTAACAGACTAAGATTGGCATAATATATTGACCAACATAGGCCTGAATAACCTAAAATAGCTACACATTCTGGCAAGTAAAGAGTCCTGAGCTAAAATAAATTACAAGACCCCATTACCTTAAAAAGGCAATGGAAAAATAACCTATAGCCTAGAATATGTGTGATGCTGGAATAATAAAAATAAGTAAAAATAACAAAATATCTACGTGACTCATGAGAGTCTTTAAATAAACGTTTATTTCTTCCACTAAAAGTGATGTTTAGTGTCAAAGGGATTATTTATTCAGCCTTAGCTATTAATTATCCATTAGTGTTCAAATATTTCTACCAAACTCTAAAATTGAGTAGTTGACATTTTTGAGTCTAATATATAAAATTTATATATAATTATCTCTTTTATATACGGAACAGTAGTTCATACATATCAAACATAGGCACACAGACTTCAAAAGCTCTCCTCAGCTCACATGTGTGAGGATGTTGTTACAGTTGGAATCCCTATTGTAGGGCACCTAACAGCAGAATTCAGTGCCATCCACTATAAATATTGTGTAATACACAGCTAATGCTGTGTACTGATGTACATTCACATACATAAATAATTCTGGCTATGTAAATCAACCAAGAATCTGTGATAGGGCAATCATCAGAGGTTTCTAAAATGAAGTTTTATGGAAAGTGTAAACATTGAAGGTAAATCCATGGGGGTCTTATTATATTAAGCATAAAGTCAACTCTAAGATGGGATTTGAGGGCATCTTCTCAATCCAATGTCTATGTTCTGTACAAGTTTACCATTTTACATCCATTCTGTGTGTTCCTCACCCCATACCCTTTTACTTTTTATGTCTGCCCAAGGGAAATAAATATTAGACTGAGTTATTCTTGGTTTAGCTGTTAAATGATCCCAAGAAAAGGCAGGATCTAGATTGATCTAAAAGCCCTTGGGATCTTGGTTAAACAGGGAGGTACTAGAAAGAAAGATTCTCTGTGGAATTTTACCGTAATTCCTGAACAGACTAACAGACCTTGCATTCTGACAATTTTTCCAAGAGAAATTAGTCTCTTTTATATTGAGCAACTGCTAAGTGCCAGCCTTTATTCTTAGCACGTTTACTTCATTATCTCATTTAATAATAAGAATACTCTTAAGAGCTGAGGAATTATTCTCATCTTTTTTATGCAAAAACACAAGTGCAAGAGACTAATGAGATTTCCAAAGTCATACAAATGATACATGATGAAGCACAGATTTTACCAGGTATAATTTAATACTAAAGATGATACTATTTCCACCATGCCATACTGCACTATAGGCATTAGAAAGTCAGAATTTTTTCTGGTCTTAGCTTGAGTAGTTATGGGACTTTGGGTAAGGCAAACAGGGCAGAGGCCATGGCTGTTTCATTTACGACTTTGAGTGAGTGCTCTGTAAACATCTGAAAATAAATTAGTCATTTAGCCATACTGAGCTTTTGTAATCAACTATTAAGGGGTGTTTTGGCCTATATCTGAGGATCGTTGTGAAAATCAAATATTATACAGCATAGAAAAGCAGACTCAAAAATTCATAAAATAACATATGAACATAAGACGTGGTATTTATTTATTTATTACTGACAGGAGCAAATTTAAGGGGAAATGATATATTTGTAGCAAAAAAAAAAATCACCACGATCATATATTTAGAGCAAGCCTTGCTAATCCTGAGGAAAACATATAGCTTTTTTTTTTTATCATATTGTAGACTTGAATTAACTGAATGCTGGAAGATTTACACATGGGCAGGATAAGAAGAAAACTATTCAGATATGGAAATACTTGTCTTAGCTTAAAACATGAAAGGAAACGCCACTAAAATGACAAAAGGAATACAAACATTTATAAATCCATTGTCACAAGGAGAATGAAAATAGAGACAATAATTTGGAAGAGATGACAACAGGTAGAGAGATGGAAAACAAATGGAGATATGAAATGGACCAAGGAGAGCCCAAGAAGCCAAAAGAAAGGAAACCAACAAGTAGAAAGGTGATTTGCTACCTCGGACCCTCTGAAAATGTAGGAATTAACGACCAAGATGCAGCTAAAACATGAGGCATTATTGGAACTATCTTGGACAAGCAATTGGACCTCAGATCCCCTCCTCTACCCAGTACAAGGCAAGATATTTTCTCTCTGAAGAGTTTTAATCATATTCTTTGGAAAAGAGAATTACTGACCTAGCTCAGGGTGGAAATGTCCTCCTCCCTGTCTACTGAAAGCATGATGGCAGGAAGGGAAGGACAACCTGCTTACGATCCTTCTGCTTAGCTACTGGCTGCAGGTAGCCAGGGTTATATCCACCAGATTAGACAATTTCCTAGAGGTCGTCTGACTGCCTTAAAAGATAAGATATCAGACGATGATATTTTGCTGTTGGAAGTACTCTGCAAAGACCCAACCCATCAGAATTTGGCAAACACCAAACTCATGCACAGAACTTCCAATGAGCAGAAACACTTCAGCATGAAAGACAGAAGCCAAAATAAACAGAACAGAAGTCAAAGGAAGAAGAGAAAAAGAGAGAACAGAAGAAAACTTCTAAGAAACTATATCATCTTCAGAGAGATAAAAAGAAATTACATCCATGAGAAAGGAACAGAGTCTTGAAAAACAAAACAAAAACAGAAATGAACATTCAAAGAACAAAAAGGAGTCCATAGAGATTAAAAATGTCACAAAAGGCTAGCAATGAATAGAAGGATGAGAAAATAGTGTTTAGAATTTCTGCAGGACTAAACAAAATAATAATAGAAAATAAGACAGAGGAGATAGAAATCAATAAGAAAATCAATCAATCCAGAATGAAAAATATGTGACTAATGGATATTCTAATAGACTAATAGAACAAAATGACTAATAGAAGTTCCAGGCAGAGAAAGTAGAGGTGAGAACGTCAAAAAATTATACAATAGTATTTCCCAGAATGAAAAGACACAATTTTACAGCATGAAAACACCACCAAATATTCCCCAATGCAAGTGTGGGAGAAAGGGGACTCATACTAAAACACACCTTTGGAAATATCAAAACACCAAACAAAAATAGAAGATTCAAAAAGCTTCAAAATTTTTAAAAAGTCACATACTGCCAGGCATAGTGGTTCATGCGTATTATCCCAGCATTTTGGGAGACTGAGGTTGGAGGATTGCTTGAGGTGAGGAGTTCAAAATCAGCCTGGGCAACAAGCAAGGTCCCAACTCTAAAGTTTTATTTAGCATGCAGCTACTCTCATTTGTTTATGGTTTATATATGGTTGCTTCCACACCACCATGGAAGAGTTGAGTAGTTGTGACTGTATGGCCTGCCAAGACTAAAACATTTTCCACCTCTTATATACTAATATAAGAAATCACAATATCTTTTATATTGAATTCTATTTCATCACAATGATCTCTAAATTCCTTGTCATGCTTTGATAAAACTCTCTTATTTGTCAAATAGCATGGAGGACCATGACTAGACCAGAGGGATGGGAGGCTGTGTTGAATATGATTGGCAGAAGTAATAAAGGTAACATCATGGAGTTACAAGCTGCAGCCTTGCAATGTGATGAAAAGCAAAACCGAAATCAGTGGTGTCTGTATCTGTGGGATTCTAAAAAGCCACAGAGCCCACGGGCAGGGTAACCATGCCCACTGAACACCAGATAGATGGGGCTCTCTGCTCTGGCAGGGGAGGTGGCCCAGCTGACCTCATCTGTCCTCTCGGCTCCAATTTCTTATTTCTGGGCTCCCACCATCTGGCAGAGAACTGAGCTATTTTTCCTGCAACTCTTCCCACATAAGAAGAGCGGTGCCTGCTGCATGAATGATATGACATTATATTAAAATTGAAATATTAAGGATTCAATGCTTCATTTCTGGACACAAGCAATAAACAAAAACAGATTGATTTCTGGATTTCGATAGCACTGACTTCCCAGGGATCAGACTGTGGTCTTTACACTCTCAGATTTGAAGGCAATTATGTGTTTTACATACAGAGTATAAAGTTTAAAAACAGCATCAGCAGTCTTGCAAATTTTTTTAAAGATTTTTGAAATGCAACAGCTCAGTTAGATTAATTTTCCTTGGATTACTTTTTTTTTGTGACAACCCATCTTCAAAACTGTGGAACATAAAAGTATAGAATTTTAGAGTTGAAACATTTTCTAGGTTTATATTTCACAATAACATTTTTCTATAAAAGCTCTTCATTTTATCTAACAATCTGTCTACTTTTATCTACAGGTAACAGAAATTTCCTTGTAATTTTTTTCAATATTATCATCTCATGAGGATAGGAGGGTGAGAGCACTATTTAAAAATCAAATCATCTAATTTTTTGATTTAAATTAGAAATACTGAATATTTTGCACGTGAAATAAAATGTACATTATAAAATTGAGTCCTTCTCAATATTCTAAATATCTTAACACTAAGCTATTAATTTTGCCCACCAAAAGTCTTCTAAGTTATAATGCTGTTTAAATGATCAAACTTCGTGATAGATATGAAAGTCTCCTTCTTGCCCAAAGTGACTTCAGGGTTGCCTAAAAAATTGGTTCCCACAGTTCTGTTTCACTAATGAAGTCACACAAACCATGAGGAAGGTGGCACTGTTGACCCTTCTGTTGCCATACGCCAAGTTATAAAGGTAACACGATCAGAGTTTTGGATGGAGAAACAAAGCCAGCCTATGTGTAGCCACATAACCAGGGGAATGACAAACAAAGATGCTATAGAATGGAAATAGATAATTTCAGAGAAGAGGAATGTTAAGTGATCCTTTGCACCCTGTCTCCTGCACGATAACATGTTCATACCTTTCCAATCCCCTTCTTTCCTTTTTCACCTTTAAAGACAAATAAAGAGCTTTGTTTTGTAACATGGAGTAAAACCACCTTAAGAGTGTTACTAATCCCCCCAGTTTTCAAATACAATAAAATGTCCAAGAACCTTACTCAATGCTATAAAATTACACACCAACCCTTGAAAGGAGCATCGTGACATAAGATGCATTAAGAATGGCTCATTAAACATTTATTTATTCTTATTTGAATTCACCAACAGTTCACATCTCCATCATAGCCTTTTTCCTATTTGAAAAACCATGAAAATGATTTAAAATAAAAAGATAGACTAGAACTTATGGGTGAGAAATATTTCATATGAATATGCTCTCTCTTAAAAATGACTCAATGCAGTTGAGTTCATGAGCATATATTAAGTTACTGAAATATTAATTATACTTTAACTGCATGAACATATGCTTCAACTTGCATTCAAAGATCTGAAAATGTATTGCAGGGGTTCCTGAAGGATAAAGAAAGAGCTTTAAGAAGAAAATGAGGAAGAGCTGAGCATCACTTTGTCTCTAAATAAAATACTGCCTGAATGGAAATGAAACAAATATCAGCCACTGTCTCTATTGACAGCATTTTCCCATCAACATCCTTTCCCCCATTCATGGATGTTCAACTTGCTCCTCATGGCATGTGGAATCAATTGAACTAAATATATGGTTTACGTGTGGGTCTCACCACTGGTACACAGAATCATTTGCACAAAAAGAAGGGCAAAGTGATTAGTTTAGAATCAAAAGCCTAAAATGAGTGCATTTATTCAACACCCATTATATAACCAGGTATTTCGCTCAGTGCTGGGGAAACAGAACTAAGGAAGACATATGTCACAAAGAAAACTGCCCCAAGGGGAGAATTAAAACAAAAAAGTATGGAAAACACAATAGAAAACAAAAGTATAGAAAGCAATTCAAGACTTATACTCATTAAGTCGTTTCTTTTTCTTTTCTTTTTTTGGCGTAGTATAACAGCAACAATAATGGAATAAAACACCTGTGATCTCAATAAGAAGAAAAACAATCACTACTTGAGAAGAAGTTAGAATATTTTTATTTAGATCTGAAGGCTACCTTTTATGGTAAGTTGTATACATCTATTTTCCTCACCTGTAAAATGGAGATAATAATTACCATGACATGGGAATAATCTGAAATTATGTACATAATATACATAAATAAGGAGGAATACTTCTTAACTGAAAAACAATCAATTAACATTCATTTATTGCTTACCTTGCTTACATTATTCATACATGGGTCTCTGGATTCTTAAGTCTAATTAGTAAAAGTCAACCATATAGACAACGCTTTGAAAAACATACAATTTTTTTTATTTTTTATTTTTGAGATGGAGTCTCGCTCTGTGGCCCAGGCTGGAGTGCGGTGGCGCTATCTCGGCTCACTGCAAGCTCCGCCTCCTGGGTTCTGGCCATTCTCCTGCCTCAGCTTCCGGAGTAGCTGGCCTGCCACCATGCCCGGCTAATTTTTTTGGATTTTTTTTTAGCAGAGACGGGGTTTCACTGTGTTAGCCAGGATAGTCTCGATCTTCTGACCTCGTGATCCACCTGCCTCGGCCTCCCAAAGTGCTGGGATTACAGGCGTGAGCCACCGCGCCCGGCCAAAGCATACAATTTATTGTTTATATTACAATTGGGTTATATAATGGGTGTTGAATAAATGCACTTCTATACTCTTCACATGTATTAATTCCTATAATCTTAACCAAAATCCTATGTAGCAGGTACAAATATCTGCATTTTTTATTTGAGGAAATTGGGGCAAGAGAGATTCAGTAAGTTGCCCAAGGTAACACAGTTTGCAAGCGGCAGAACCAGGATAGAAATCAAGTTCTCTGGTTCTGAAACCGACACTCCGTGCATGAGATAATGTGAAAAAGCCTTGGGTACACATTAGGCCGACGGAACTGCTGTTTCTATTTCCAAAACATTTTCCAAAACCAAGCATAAATTGTTTTCAGGTGATCTATATTCCTTACAGTATACTCAAATATTACATGAAGTGACAGACATTACCGTGGAAACAGTTGCATTCCATAAAGCGCCAAGTACATATAGATGATTATTATCAGGGCTAATAACTGAGAAGTGGCCTTATTCTGGACTGATAGGTCACATCTAGGAAGTTGGAGTATCATGCAGTAAATCCATCCATCTATAAATCATAAGCTATTTTCATAAAACACATCCATCATGGTTCACTCCAAATCTACAATCTCAAAGGATACATTTTGTCTTAGTGAGATGTGTGTGGGGAGGTTTCCTGTGCCTACCATGTCGAAAATAGTAAATGTTTCCCTGAGGGCCAATTAAGCATGATAAATCTCAAGTTGTTCCTCACAAAGCAATTGAGTAAGCAACAAATTGTTTAAAAGTTGTTTTAAGATCATGCTTTCTTAGGGAGCTAGTACTTCCCACAGTAACTGTGGCACCATATTTTGAGATAATTCAAGTTATTTTTATAGGTTGTGATAGATGTGTCTTTATCAAAATATTCCCACCCAAACCATATTAATCTTTGGAAGAAAATGGAGACTGCAGATAACTATTATAGGAATTCTATGAGATCAAGACATGTTAGTCATAGAATATCTCTCAGGGTCTTTGGGAAAACAAAGTTTGTCTAAAGCAGTATACTGTAAGACAACCAAATATTTACTGAGATCCTAACGTGGATCTAACTTGTACAGGAACACGATATGGAAAGTGCTACCTAAGTAGTTCACAATCATGTCATCGTGAATGCATCTGAACTCATCAGAATATGATTTAGATCCTCAAATGTGTCAGATTCATTATTGCATCTCTGGCGCTAGATAAGTGTTTAGCATACAAGGACTACATTTTCTCAGTGTGGCTTCAACTCTGTTGAGTTGATAGGTGGGTATGTGTACACACACACACACACACACACACACACACACAAGTTTTTTTTGTTTTGTTTTGTTTTGTTTCAGATGGAGTCTCACTCTGTCACCCAGGCTGGAGTGCAGTGGCGCGATCTCGGCTCACTGCAACCTCCGCCTTCTGGATTCAAGCAATTCTCCTCCCTCAGCCTCCCAAGTAGCTGGGACTAGAGGCTCATGCCACCACGCCTGGCTAATTTTTGGTATTTTTAGTAGAGACGGAGTTTCACTGTGTTAGCCAGGATGGTCTCGATCTCCTGACCTCGTGATCCACCTGCCTCGCCTCAGCCTCCCAAAGTGCTGGGATTACAGGCATGAGCCACCACGCCTAGCCAAACAAGTTTTTAATTTAAGGTATTACTTAAGTTCAGTTCATCTATTTTTTTCTTTGGCTGTTCATGATTTTGGTTTCATACTTAGGAAACCATGGCCTAATTATTTAAATTTCAAAGAAAATGTCTATGCGTTTATATTCAGTCTTCAATGAATTGTAATATAAACAATAAATTGTACGTTTTTCAAAGCCATTGTCTATATGGTTAACTTCTACTAATTGGACTTAAGAATCCAGAGACCCATGTATGAATAATGTGTGGAACACCAAATAAGACACATCTCACTACTTTCCTCATTATCCTCAACATAACAAAACTTTGTTACAGAGTATGTTATAGAAAGTACTACTTATAGATTTTGCTTTCTCACAACAATTAGATTTTGACTAAGGTGATCATTTGTAGTCTACTATCAAAAATTATGTTTTCATAGTCTTAGCCAAAGCAGTTAGATAAGAAAAAGAAATAAGAGACATCCAAATCCAAAAAGAAGTACTTCTGTTTGCAGATAACATGATCATATATGTAGAAAGCCTAAAGACTCAACAACGACAACAAATGTTAGAACTAGTCAACAAATTCAGTGAAATTGCAGAACACAAAATTAACATGCAAAAGTTAGTTGTGTTTTTATACACAAATAATGAACTGTCTGAAAAAATGATGAAAGCAGTTCCATTCACAATAGCAACAAAACTAGGTATCCATAAGGCTGAGATAAACTAAATTACAGACTAATTAAGTTGAATTATACACTTTATTCAGAGGTTCACTTGAACAATTTTATATATATAGTGAGAGACTCTCTTAGTTAGCTTTTGCTATATAATATACCACCCCAAAACTTAGTACCTTAAAACAAACCCCTCTAAAAAAGGAGCTTGCAATTCTATAGGACTTCTCGGATAATCTCTGTTCAGCTAACTTAGGGGTCTGAGTCCAGTTGGTAAGTGAGCTGATACCTGGATGTTGCCAAGTCCTCCTCTACTGCAGCAAGGATGTTCCTTGGTTAGAATCTGGTTTTATGCATTGGAACGGGCTCCATAATCCCTTGTATGTCCATAGACATGACTCTTTCAGCCACTACTTTCAGTAGCTCTTAGCCTCACCCTCTGTCTTTAGAGCTCTGCTTAAAATAAGTATCTGAGAAATGCCTAGGGAAAAGTATTTATTTTCAATAAGACAGGGGTTGTGCTTCCAGCTGGGTAGACTTGTCATTTGGCTTCTTGTCACTAGGAAGTTGAAGTCACAGGGGCCACTTTTCATTTTGAACTATTTCAACCCCTTTTAGTTCAAGATGCAGGCTTTCATCAATACAACTCTCTTAAAGATCTGGGTTTTCTATTAGTCAGATTCAGGTTCACTCCATGTTCCAAATGCCTAGTTCATTCGTCCATCTGTAGTTTTTAGATACACTTCATGTTTAACACTATTATGTTCCGTCTGTGTCTCTTGTCTATGTTTTTGTTTTGCAAGAAAATTTGACACTCAAAAGGAATACAGAATTGTTTTTATAGTTTTAGTTTCCATTTGCATACACTATCATTTATCATTTTCTTATAGATATGGTGGGAATACATTTAAAATAGTAACTAAAGACTTCTCATATGAAAACCATGCCCAAATATGTGAAACAAAACAGATTTTGGCCCCAACAAATTCCAAACAAATGAATTGAAAAACATATTTGCAACGTTTTCTGTTTTGGATTTGAGATAGAGTCTTGTTCTGTTGCATAGGCCAGAAGGCAGTGGCACGATAATAGTTCACTGCAGCCTCAAACTCCTGGACTCCAGCAATCCTCTCCTCCAGCCTTAGCTACTCAAGAAGCAAGTTGCTGGGACTACAGGCACACCCCACCATATCCGGCTAAAGTGTTTGTTGTTGTTGTTTTGTAGACAAGGAGTTTTTCTATATCGACCAGGCTGGTCTAGAACTCCTGGCCTCAAGTGATCCTCCTGCTTTGCCCTCACAAAACATCAGGATTACAGGCTTGAACCACTGCACCCACCCTGCAAAGTAAAATTTTTATTTGTGTGTGTGTGTGTGTGTGTGTGTTTGTATTTTACTTAATACCGACAGATTTTGTACTAAAAATATCATACATTGGAATAAATTTTAATTTTCTCCCATTAAACATATAGTATTTAGCTGTAGAGGAAACACGTTCAGTTTTCCAGGAAGCCCAGTGATTACATGAAGATAAGACAACTGTTTGGAATGTTTACTTCATCCTCATAATGTCTAATATAAATACTGAATCTCCAGAGCCCAAGTGTGTCTTTGCAATCTGGGAAATACATATACAATGTCAGTTTTTCAGGATTATGAACATCCATGAGAACACATGTAATATTCCCCAGCATAATATTATAGTGTCAATATCCCAGCAGGAATAATAGCATTAAAATTATTTTTGACAAGAATTCTTCTTCCATTAAAAGAAAATAGCAGTGCTTCACTTTGATTGAGACCTAATGTGTCCAGCACTTTGAAAAGCACTTTCTATGAATTATCTCATTTAAGCACTAACACAAGACAAAGTAAATTGGAATGATCTGATTTTTATAAAAGGACCTATATTATTCTAGATCATTACTACCATCGTTCTCATATTACTACCGTCATTCTCATATTGCTGCCAAAATTGATCTACTAAGCTAGATCATTACTAATTTCTTTGATTATTATTATTATTGTTTTATTATACTTTAAGTTCTGGGTCATATGTGCAGAAGGTACAATTTTGTTACACAGGTATACACGTGCCATGGTGGTTTGCTGCACCCGTAATCTACATTAGGTATTTCTCCTAATGTTATCCCTCCCCTAGTCCCTCACCCCCGACAGGCCCTGGTGTGTGATGTTCCCCTCCCTGTGTCCATGTGTTCTTATTGTTCAACTCCCACTTATGAGTTAGAACACGCTGTGTTTGGTACTAATTTCTCACTTCACCTTTTGCAATGTTGATAGCCATTAACTTGAAATTCCATTCAGACCTAGCATTTAATTTTTCAAATATTACAGGAAATCAGTTTTCCTATCTAATTAATTTAGAGACATGAATTAGACTATTATTATTTCAGTTGTAAGACAACAGCTATAGAATAAAAAAAAACATTAGGAATACATTTTTGAGGGGAAGTTGAGTCTCGTTAAAGGAGAACATCTTTCTGATATCTTAATAGAGGTGTCTATGTCCCACTAGAACTGAAAATTATTTTTACTCACCTTTGCACTACTACTGTATATGTCACTTGTACATTAGTCCCAATCTTTTCTTTTTACCAAAATTATATAATGGAAACAGGATTTGGTTGTGTTTTTCAATGTGTTCTGAATATGACTGACATTGAAGGCTGGCCAATTATCCATGAGCCATAAGTACAAACAAAAAATAACCTCACCTTGCTGTAATTTAGAGTGTGGAGTTTCCTTAAAGCATCTGCTCTATCAGCTTTATTTTTCTTTTTATTTTTCTCCTTTTCTTCCTTTTTTTTTTTCTTTTTTTTACTCTACCAGCTTTAAGGGCTGTTTTTCCTAAGAGTGTTGATATGGAACTTAAACATGAAGCTGTGTTGATAGGAAATTTTCCCTGTGATATGGATATTAGTATTGCAGTGGTAATTAGATTAGGAAATCTATCTAAAAGTGCATATTTTACTTTGCTTTATCTAGAAATAGTTCTGTTTCCACCTTTACTATGTGCCAAATATTAAATGAATATTTACATAGAACCCTCTGTTTTAAGGGTCCCTTGGTTTCCAAGACACTCAAATTTAGGGAAAGACTTACTTCAGTTATATGTTATAAAAATGAATGTAGCAGTACAGCATGGTGACTGAGAGACCTTCTTATCAGTTAGGTTTGATGTCTGTCTCTACTACTTGCTAGCTGTGTAATCTTTGACAAGCAACTCAAACTTCCCAAATTTCTCTTTCATGATCTGCAAGGCAGGAATCAACAGAAACAAACTCTTCAGACTGGGGGGAAGGAGTAAATGAGAATATTTATAAGGAAATTTGAACAGTCTTTGATATATTTTAAGTGTTAAAATTATTTTTAAAGTTAATCTCCTCTCCAAAGTTCTTCTACTTTTAAAAGGAGTATTCTATAAAAATTAAGTACATGTTTTACTCCCATATTTAAAATAAGATAATTGTAGTAGTTTGTTCTCGCACTGCCATAAAGAAATACCTGAGACTGGGTAATTCATAAAGAAAAGAGGTGTAATTGGCTCATGGTTCCACAGGCTGAACAGGAAGCATGGCTGAGGAGGCCTCTGGAAACTTACAATCATAGCGGAAGGCAAAATGCAAGTAAGCACATCTTACATGGTGGGAGCTGGAGGAAGAGAGCTAGAGGGGAGGTAATACAAATTTTTAAACAACCAGATCTTGTGAGAACTCAGTCTCTAGCATGAGAACCGCACCTACAGGGATGGTGTTTAACCATTAGAAACTGCCCCCGTGACCCAATCACCTCCCACCAGGCCTCACCTACAACATTGAGTATTACAATTGAACATGAGATATGGGTGGGGACACAGATCCAAACCATATGAGTAGTCTACATTATTTGAGATAAAAAAAAGAAAGCTTTCTATGCAGGCTCATGTTTAACAATATATTAAACAGAGTCATTTTGTGTGGACAATATGGGAATAAAATCTATGTCAATCAGAATGAGTTTGCCCTCCTTGAAGGAAATGGCCCCCAAATGTTCTGAGATGACACTGATGCACATTTCTCGTCCCACTTGAAATGAAGTGGGACTCTGCGCAGCTGGGACAATGTCATATTTACCTTTATATTCTACACGGTACCTATTACAGTACTTTCCACCCAGTAGATTCCCAGCAAATATTCTAAATTCTAATGAATTGCAGCTGCCTTAATAATCCTATGGAATTTTTGAAGTAGTTGATGTTTTATGCCTTAGATTTCCTTATGGCATGCTTTAAGGTAACAGCCCTTAGTTGGGGATGCGCCTCTCTTTAGAACGAATTATTCTGCCTTGGAAGTAAACAAAATATCCTGCATGGAAGTATCTATTCCCATTGCTTTAGAACAGAGTGGAGTGGAGAAAATATTCCTGTCTGGGGCATGGATTAGAGAGCTGTGCTTTCCTTAGGTAGGGGCAGAAAAAACTTAGATTGCAGCATCCTGCTAAAAAAGGCGATGCTATGTTTTTATTTGCTAGGGCTGCCACAACGAAGTTTCATATACTGGGTGTTTTAAAGGATCGAAATTTTTTTTCTCACAGTTCTGGAGCTGGAAGGCCATGACCAAGTTGTAAATGAGGTTATTTCTTCTGAGACCTCTCTCCTTTGGTTTGTCATTTTTTCCCTGTGTCTTCATATCATTTTCCTTCTCTCTCTCTCTGTCTCTCTCTCTGTCTCTCTCTCTCTCTGTCTCTCTCTCTCTCTGTGTGTGTGTGTGTGTGTGTGTGTGTGTGTGTGTGTGTGTGTGTGTATGTCCTGATGTCTGCTTATAATGACACCAGTTATACTGGATTTTGTTCCATACTAAGGACCTCATTCTACCTTAATTACCACCTTAAATGTATTTTCCCCAAATACAGTCACACTATGAGCTACTGGAGGTTAGAACTTCAACATATGAATTTTGAGAGCACACAATTCAGCCTATAACACCATGCTACATAAAGTTTTGTTAGACTCAAGAGCTTATTCCTGGGCCACACACTGAGCCACAGGGGGAATCTTGTCCTACTTTTATCTTTCAGTCCATTGCTTGTCTTTCCACTTACCACTTGGTGTTATCTTTCCAACAGTATACTCAGAGAAAAAGCAGAAACCATGTCAGGCTAAAGAAAACAATGCATACAGTTCATTTGTGCAATAAATAGTTGCCACAGTTGAGTGTGTTCTGCTTTCTAGGGGAACTTTAAGGGAAAGCTACACCAATACGGCTTCTGTTCTCAGGGAGCTTAGAGTCTAGAGTCTAGCTGGGAACTGTTCAAGTCATCCACTAAGGAATATATAATTAGGACCTAAGGCAAATGCTCTGAAGATAAGCAGTGTACTTTTCTGAGAGGAGATAACTAAGAACAAAGAGACCTGCTCTAGACCAGAGTGTGGGGGTTGTTTGGGGTGACTGGGCATTTTGATCACGGTAGCAGCATGGGCAACTGGTATGGGGTATTTAAGAAACCAAGAGAAGGGTAAATGTAATGGGTGTGGGAGGTGTTGAGATGAGACTGGAGATGAGACTAAGCAGATAATGTGGGCTCTCCTCCTGAGTTCACTCAGAAGCCACGAGTGATTTGAAGCAATGGGGCAGAGTGACATGAGGGACTTTCATGATTAAAAAGTATTATTTGGCTGGGTGTGGTGGCTTACACCTGTAATTCCCAGCACTTTGGGAGACTGAAGTGGGAAAATCACTTGAGCTCAGCGGTTCAAGACCAGCTTGGGCAATATAGTGAGACCCCATCTCTACAAAAAAATAGAAAGCATTAGCCAGATGTGGTGATGTGCGCCTGTGGTCCCAGATATTCGGGGCGCTGAGGCCGGAGGGCCACCTGAGCCTGGGAGGTTGAGACTTCAGTGAGCTGTGATGGCACCACTGCACTCCAGCCTGGGTGACAGAGTGAGACCCTGTCTCAAAAATAAAAGAGTATTATGTACAAATAATTACTCACAGTAGGGATTCAGCCTCTTTCAGTGGATTTTTCATCTGCACTTTATGCCATTACAATATTAACCAATTTCTGAACAGAAACAAAACCATGAAAAGGTAATAAAATGATGGGGGTAAAGAAGGTAGTCAGGAAGACTTATGCATAATAGTTAGGGAGGAAAATATTTCATCAACTTATGTCTATAGTATTTTGATACAAATATAACCAACTTGATGAAGTCAGAAGTTGATCCAGTCAAAATAGGCATATTCCACAAACCCCTCCTCTGCCCCCCACACACGAAACACCAATTTTTCGTACATTCTCATAGTATCTACTTAGCTAACATTTAGGATATAACAACAATATAGTGACCTAGGTCATATCACCTGTGTGTACATGTTAAGACTGAGATACCAGAGCCTACAAGATGTGTGGGCATTTTTGCTTAAATTTGAACAAATATGTCTTTTAAATGACAGCAGGCTGGGTGGATACCACTTAAGATGACAGGAGCATAGGCATAATGTTTATTACATGTATTAATTCATTCAACAATTTATTGAATCCCTATTATGCTTAGGTATCGATATTCTGAGTTACATGCCTGATAAGCATAGTTATCTAAGACAATTTACGACAGAACTTCTCAACACATACATTCTTTTCAGAGAAAAAAATTCCTAAAGTGTGATCAGAGGGAACTGACCCATGCGATTATTCCAGAGAAAGGGATTCCATAGCCAGGTCAGTTTAGAAACCACTGTATAAAATATTCCTATGCTTAAGGTTTCATAATGCATGTTAACTATAAGTAGTTCTACATCACAGAAATCTGTTTAACTCATTAAGATCATTAAGATATGTACACTTCTATTTACAAGAAAAAGACAAACAACCCCATCAACAAGTGGGGGAAGGATATGAACAGACACTTCTCAAAAGAAGACATTTATGCAGCCAAAAGACACATGAAAAAATGCTCATCATCACTGGCCATCAGAGAAGTGCAAATCAAAACCACAATGAGATACCATCTCACACCAGTTAGAAAGGCGATCATTAAAAAGTCAGGAAACAACAGGTGCTGGAGAGGATGTGGAGAAATAGGAACACTTTTACACTGTTGGTGGGAGTGTAAACTAGTTCAACCATTGTGGAAGACAGTGTGGCGATTCCTCAGGGATCTAGAACTAGAAATACCATTTGACCCAGCAACCCCATTACTGGGTATATACCCAAAGGATTATAAATCATGCTGCTATAAAGACACATGCACACGCATGTTTATTGTGGCACTATTCACAATAGCAAAGACTTGGAACCAACCCAAATGTCCAACAATGATAGACTGGATTAAGAAAATACAGCACATACACCATGGAATACTATGCAGCCATAAAAAATGATGAGTTCATGTCCTTTGTAGGGACATGGATGAAGCTGGAAACCATCATTCTCAGCAAACTATTGCAAGGGCAAAAAACCAAACACAGCATGTTCTCACTCATAGGTGGGAATTGAACAATGAGAACACTTGGACACAGGAAGGGGAACATCACACACCAGGGCCTATTGTGGGGTGGGGGGAGGGGGGAGGGATAGCATTAGGAGAGATACCTAATGTAAATGACGAGATAATGGGTGCAGCACACTAACATGGCACATGTATACATATGTAACAAACCTGCACATTGTGCATATGTACCCTAGAACTTAAAGTATAATAAAAATATATATATATATAAATGATTTAATGAAGGCAAAAAAAAGATATGTACACTTCTTCATTGTGTCTACAGACCTAAAAAATGGAAGCAAAACTTGAAGTTTTTCCCTTAGCATTTGATTGAGCTTACATTTTCAAAGATAGATAGACATAATTATAGCAATTAATATGTAGAGATACAAATATTAAACATGATTAATAGTTTAAAATTACTTTCTGTGCAATCTATGTATATATTGTGCATGTAGGTATATACCCATCTTATCTTCCAAATACATTTAGCTTGGTATCTTTATAGATACCTGTGAATGGTAGTGATTGTTACTTTACAAGAGGAACATTCTCTGGAAAGATGTCACTTCCAGGGTTTTCTTTCTCATATCATTCTACGTATTGAATCTAACACCTTTACTTACATCTAAATGCCATCCACTAATTGCCAGTCTTTTATATCAGCCTTTCAGATGTCTGAACTTTACTCAGTGGATACTAGATTTCCCTTTCCCTTGCCTTATACAGTGAGACTTTTTTTTTACAACCCAGTATAATCATAGATGTAGAACAAAACTGAGGTCTCTGACTTTTTCCCCTTTCCATTGCAACTGTTGCAAATATTCAAAATCACAAATCATACTATTAATTTCAGCTGATATTTTCAACTCTCTTAACCCAGCACTACATCCGACAGCTGTAAGGGCTTTCAGCCATAATAAATCTCTGCCTGACTTCCCAAAGCAAACAGTGTTGAGGAGAGTGATCCCTCCAATAACATTTTGTCAGCTCAAATCACCACCATAACATAAGTGATTCAGACAGTCTGAACTGACTCCAGGCTTTCCAACCTCCGGTCTTTATTTCCTATTTTCTTTTACTTATGAACTGTTCTTAATATTCTGAAGACTCTGAAAATGTTGTGTTCATTCCTTGAGATTGGCGGAATGCCCATTTAACAAGTGGTTTTTTCTCCCCCTCTCTCTTTGAGAAGATTCTGCCTCGTGACCTGATTAGATTAGTGCATTTGGAAACAAAGCTTATTCAGGTCTGGTAATTTAGAAAAAAAAAATAATAGAATAGCTAAACTCTAATAGTATAAAATTAAAACATTATTAGTAAATATTTTTGGAAATTAAGGGAAACAATGTGATTTTCCTTGATATGTTTAATTCCAGAAAGCCTGATGTTCACACAGCATGTAACTATCTACTGTGTATGTACATCAGTGCTGCCCTAAACTTTTTGGCATCAGAGACCTGTTTCATGGAAGACAATTTTTCCACAGAGGGAAGGTGAAGTGGATGGTTTCAGGATGATTCAATTGTGTTACATTTATTGTGCACTTTATTTCTATTATTATTACATTGTATTATTAATATATAATAAAATAATTACACAACTCACCATAATGTAGAATCAGTGGAGCCCTGAGCTTGTTTTCCTGCAACTAGATGATCCCGTCTGGGGGTGATGGGAGACAGTGACGGCTCATCGGGCATTAGATTCTCATAAGGAGCTCGCAACCTAGATCCCTGGCATGCAGAGTTCACAACACGGTTTGCGCTCCTACCAGAATCTAACGCTGCCGCTGATCTGACGGGAGGAAGAGCTCAGGTGGTAATGCAAGTGATGGGGAGCAGCTGTAAATACAGACAACTTTGCTAGCTCACCCACCGCTCACCTCCTGCTGTTGTGGTCTGGTTCCTAACTGGTACCAATCAGTGCCCTGGAGGATGAGGACCCATGGTGTACATCATCAGTAACATGCTGAGTGAATGACTGGGCTTCCTTGGAGTTGAGTCCCCTGAAAAGAAGCTAAGTCAAGCCATGTGGGCATGGTAAAAGAAGGTACATATTATGAAAGGACATGTTTTCAAACAGCAAAAAACATAACAATAAAGAGTACAGAGCCTTTGATTCAGACAGATCCATTTTCCATCCTGAATCTACTGTTTACTACCAGTTTGACGATAGATACACGGGCCACTGGTTCCTTATATGAAAACTGGGGCTATTATGATCTGCCTAATTCAATAAGACAGGATTTGTTTTCTTTTTCTTGCTAACAGCAGTGTCTGTGTTTTAATCAAGACGTTGCTATTGGCTTGGGATGAAGTGTTACCTCAAAGCATCTGGAAAACTTGGAATTTCCAAAATAACCAAGCCTCTGCAAATCCTTAATTTTAATAATTCTGGCTTAAAAAAGAAAAAAAATCAGCATTTCCTGGCTGGGCGCGGTGGCTCACACCTGTAATCTCAGCACTTTGGGAGGCCAAGGCAGGGGCATCACCTGATGTCAGGAGTTTGAGACCAGCCTGGCTAACATGGTGAAACCTCGTCTCTACTAAAAATACAAAAAAAAAAAAAAAAAAAAAAAAAAAAATTAGCCAGGCTCGGTGGTGTGGGCCTGTAATCTCAGCTACTCTGGAGGCTGAGGCAGGAAAATCTCCTGAACCCAGGAGGTGGAGGTTGCTGTGCGCTAAGATCGCGCCACTGCAGTCCACCCTGGGCGATACACCAGGACTCTGTCTCAAAATAAATAAATAAATAAATAATCAGCATTTCCTGTTCTTTCAATTATATGGTACTTCAGAAATATATATTCTAAAACTAAGCATTCTTTTATTTGAATGAAATTGCATGAGCATACCAATTATTTTTATTTTTCCAACCCTGAGATAATTATGTTGTTTATTAAATGCTGGTACATTATGGGCACTAGTGTATTTAATTACAGATAAACACTGCAAGGTAAACATTATTATAACTATTTTACAAATAACAATGTTAAAAATCAGCAAGCTTTTGAGCTAATAGCTATAGAAGAAATGAAAAAGTTGAACTAGGTTTTATAGCCTGATTCAATCAGTGGAAAAGTCTTTTTTTAAATTTTATTTTATTTGTATCTTTTTCTTAGACAAGGTTTCACTCTGTCACCCAGGCTGAAGTGCATTGGTCCAAACAGAGCTCACTGCAGCCTCGACTTCCTGGGCTCAAGTCATCTTTCACCTCAGCCTCCCAAAGTGTGGAATTACAGGCGTGAGCCACCATTCCCTGCTAATTTTGAAATGGAACTGAAAAATTATGTTAAGTGTCTAGGGACGCCGTATAGTGTAATGGCTAAGAGCCTAAGTTCTTGACTCTCAATGTCTAGATTCAAATTCCCAATCCTACCACTTACTTGCTTTGCCAATACACAGGTTGTTTTATCCTTCCAGGCCTTAATTCTTTCAACCCTAAATTAGGGATAATAAGAGTATCTACTTTGTAGGATTTGTATAAGATTGAATGGGTTAATTCATTGCTCACACTTGGTTCATAAAAATTGCTTCCAAAATGTTAGCATTGTTATTTTTAGCAAAAATATACTGATAACTAGAAAGCTTAGTGAATTTTTTGTAGGTCACACAATTAATTCCTGAATGAGACTGAATTATACTCAGAATTTCAAAGCCATATAGCATTCACTATTCAGTAACAAAAATCTATTTGCTACTATGAGCATCTTGCTAGTACTCATAAAGGTGATAAGAATAAAGCAAATTACATCCTTAGATCTTACCTACAGTGTCATTTTGGAAACATATAATTACATAAGCAAGATATCATACACGTGGGTACTATCACATTCAACACACAGAGGGTGGTGCGAGCACCTAGCAGGAAGAGCTAACCCCAGCATCAGAGAAGGCTTCCTAGAAAAACTGACCTCTAAGCAAAAATGCACAAGAGTGAAATATGGCTATGAGTTAGGGCAAAAGACTAGGTTCTTTCAACAATTTCAGTTTGAATGTTATCAAAACTATCAGCAGCTTTATACCTAGAGAAAACATCAATGGACATGGATCCTCTGAAAATGGCAAGCGTATGATAATTCCAGAAACTGAATAATTGGGATAAGATGAGCACGGAACATATAACCTCCTGAAGTTTTTTTTTTTTAAAGAATGAATGACTGTTTATAGAATTCTAGGCACTGCATTTTCAAACTCAGGCCATTTAAGTGCAAAGTGTGATTAATAACCCCAGGAAGCTAAATGTTTCATGATATGTTGGGAAAAAAGAAAGTTGTTCCTGTTGGTAGAAATGGACTTGGAGTGTCACAGAAAGGACATTATAATAGAGTAAAAACATACCTTGTCACCTTTATGGCTCCGATTTTTGAAATTATACCCTAATTTAACTATTTTTTCCTTTAGGGAACAATTATTTTTGTTCCTCAAGTAATTAAGAGTGAGCGTCAACTTATGATTTTGGACACCCTGACTTTATTGAGTCCTTTAAAAATATCTTAGAGATACAAAGAACTATTAACACTTGGCAATGGCTACTAGGAGAAAACCTTAATGCTGAAGATAACAGTTTTGCTACTAGAACAATCTGGTCTTTCATCTTTCAGTAACTACAGTAACACTCTTTAAACTTTGGGATCCTGTTCTCATGGACTTGCAGCCCATCAGACAAGGCAATAATTCTGTAAAGATATCTCATTTAGTTTTTCACATAGTATTGATAATAACAGTAGCATTTTCACCACATTCTGGTTTTGTAAATACACTAGGTGACTAGATAATTGAATCTGGTTACCTTCAATTTATTCTCTGTATGTCAGTGGATACTAGTTGTTCAATGTTTCCTTTGTCTCCAGAATTCATATGCCGTTTACAGAATGTAATGTTGTTCTATGATCATTAAAAAGTTACTAAGTTTTTAAAAATAATGGGACTACTCAAGATGATTAAATAGGGAATAAGGAATAAAAATCTCTGCTCCCAGGCAATATTTGGTTCATAACATGCCACTGATGTTTAAACTCCATGCTACTCCCCAAAATTCATATTAGGTTTAATTTATCCATTTCATCAACCCCAAATCAAACATTACACAAGGTAGAAAGAAAAAGGGTCAAACATGTATAACTTGGTTTATAATAAATTAACCACTATTCACTGATATTTACAAGTTATCATGCCTCCAATATGAAGTGTCTGCTATGAGATATTTTAGCTTGTTCATGTTTTACTCATTTGTTTATATAAAAAACAATAATAGTTTAAAAGGTTTAACACATATACCGCTTATTACATAGCAGACACTATTCTAGGCACTTTGCACTTAGTAACACCATCATTCATCTCAAAAAATCCTATATATTGGGTACTATTTGTATCGATATTTTACAGCTGAGGACACCAAGGCACAAAGAAAACAGATAAACTGCTCATTAATATAATTCACAAGGAGACTATAGGCTGCTAATAGATTACCCAATATACAGGTAAATGTGGTACAGGAATTAGCCTGGGATTGAAACAATCCTGGAATTCATGGTTTTGAAGAGTGACAATATATTATTTGAGTATGGCTTATAAAAATGAGAAGTCACAAAGAGGTTATGTCAAGGCACATTGCTTAAACCCTATACAGTGCATGGAAGAACATTAGTGGGTAACACAATGAATTGAAGAGAAATACAAGAAAGAGTGACAGTGCTATCTGGAGCTCAACAAAACATAGTCCCAAGTCCCTGCTTCTCTCAAGATAAAGAGGAAGTTCTTGCTGGGGTTTACACAGGTGGCCTTGGCTCCACATAACCTCTCTATCACATCTAGCTCTGTCTGCCATATTTGCTAACCACCAGTATTTGTATTGTATCACTTCTGTAAATCTAGTTCAAGTTCCTTCATCTCTCAATGTGTGAAGGTCCCTAGGTCCCTAACAAATGCTATCCTAATCCCTACCTAATAATTCTATATTGTTACTTGTAGTAGAACCTCACTCCTGCCAAACGTGGTACTTTTCTGTTTCTAGTTCAGTTCAATGGAGTTTCCCTTTAAATAGGGTAATTCTATTTGATCTCCAACCCCTAGATTATTTTTTCTTAAGTTCATTCATTTTTCCATTTTTCCCCCTCTTTGAATATTACTTCCTTTATCCATGCATCTCTTCTACCATTCGTCTTTTTCTTCACTCTTTCTTCTCATCTTTGATGTTTCCTTCTACTTCTTTGTCTCTTTAACCCCAAGGTGAGAAAAACACCTTTTTCAGAGCCCTACTCAGAGCACCATGCAATTTCATTTTCTCAAGTGCTACAAGGCAAAGATTTTCTCCCCTACTTGAATTAATTTATTGTATATGTAATCGCTTCCTCCCAAAGAGTTTTGATCAGATTGTTTCCAGAAATTATCATTGAAAAAGCTAACAACTTCTTCAGGGTTTAGGGAAAATGCTAACACAGTAGGTGTTTTTAATGAAGAAAGTTTTATTTGAATTTATCATTGGAAAACATCATTTAAAAATACATGTATTAAAGATTCATCTACTCGACAAATATTAAATATGCATTACATGCTGAGCTTTTTGTTATGCAGGTAGAATTGTTTGATAAATGCCCAGTGGGATGGAATTCAAGTATAAATATTTTTTGAATATTAATTTTGAAAATATTTTACTTTGTAGGCTTTCTTTCAACGATCCATTGCCACATCGAACCTTTATCCACCACATTTTTTCTCAATACTCCATATTTACATTTATATAAATTTTAATTTATTTACTAATTTTAATTGTGCTGAAAAACACATTACATAAAATTTACTCTTAATCACTTTTAAATGTACAGTTCAGTAGCGTAAACCATATTCACATTACTGTGGAACAGATCCCCAAAAGTTTCTCACCTGGCTAAACTGAAACTCTCCACCCATTGAACAAAAACTTTCCATTTCTCCACCCCCCTCAGCCCCAGGCAATCAGCATCCTTTCTGTTTCTATGAGTTTGACTACTTTGGATAACACGTGCAAGTGGAATCAATCAGCATTGTTGCTTTACGACTGGTTCATTTCACTTAGCATAATATTCTCGAGGTTCATTTGTGTTGTAGTACGTGACAGGATTTTTCCCAGTTTAATGCGAATATTACGTTGAATCTATATACTACATTTAATCTATCCATTCATTTGTCCATGGACATTTGGGTTGCTTCCATCTCTTGACTATCGTAAATAATGCCACGAGGAACACAGGTATGCAAATATCTCTTTAAGATTCCATTTTCAATTATTTGGGGTATATACCCAGATGTGGATGGCTTCATTATAAGTGCATAATTCTACTTTTAACTGTTTGAAAAACTCCATTCTGTTTTCTATAGTGGTTACACCATTTTACATTTCCACCAACAATGCACAAGGGTTCCAATTTATTTACATTCTTGCCATCACTTATTATTTTCTGGATTTTTTAAACTGTTTTTTGTTTGTTTGTTTAGTGGCCATCCTAATAAGTGTGAAGTGATAGCTCATTGCTCTTTTTATTTGTGTTTCTCTAATGATTAGTGAAGCTGACCATATTTTCATGCCATTTGTATACCTTCTTCAGAGAGATTTTAATTCAAGTCCTTTGCCCATTTATAAGTTGGGTTATTTTGTTGTTGTGTTTTAGATGTTATTTATATTTTAGATATTAAGCTCTTATTAAATATATCATTTAAAAATATTTTCTTCCATTCTGTAGGTTGACTTTTTGCTCTGTTAATTATTTCTTTTTTTTTCTTTTCTTTCTTTTCTTTTTTTTTTTTTTTTTTTTTTTTTTTTTTTTTTTTTTTTTGACACAGAGTCTGGCTCTGTCACCAGGCTGGAGTGCGGTGATGCGATCTCTGCTCACTGCAACCTCCGCCTCCCAGGTTCAAGCGATTCTTCAGCCTCCCGAGTAGCTTGGATTACAGGTGTGTGCTGCCATGCCTGGCTAATCTTTGTATTTTTAGTAGAGATGGGGTTTCACCATGTTGGCCAGGCTAGTCTCAAACTCCTGACCTCAAGTGATCCACCTGCCTCGGCATCCCAAAGTGCTGGGTTTACAGCCGTGAGCCACCACGCCCAGCTGCTCTGTTAATTATTTCCTTGGAGGCATAGAAGTGCTTGAGTTTTATGTAGTAGATCTACTTTCACTTTTGTTACCTATACTTTTAGTGTCATATTCAGGATATAATTACCAAATCCAATGTTATAAAGCTTTCCCCTATGTATTCTTCTAGGATTTTTATAGCTTTAGTTCTTACGTGTAGGTCTTTAATCCCCTTAATTTTTGTATATGGTGTAAGGTAAGACTCCAACTTCATTCTTCAAATTTGGAGTCCACTTGAATTTTCTCAGCTTTGCCATTAAGAAATGTGCTTATCTTTGGAAAAGTGAGAAAAATGTTCCTACTTTAAAGGGTTGTTATAAGCACTGGAGGCAATGTATAATGATAGCTAATCTTTATTACTTACAAAGAGACAGGTACTATTTAAATGCATTAGACTTAGTCTCACATTTAATTCTCACAACAATCCTTGGAGGTAGGTAAGATTACATGTCCGTTTCAACGAAGAGAAAGTTGTGGCTTGGGGGCATTAATTCACTTGCTTGAGGTCACACAGCTCTTACGTATTAGGGCAAGATTTGAACCCAGGCAGTCTCACTCCCAATTTTTCTTTTAACTACTACATTATAATGCTTCCCACTTCAAGTGCTTAGCATAATACGGTTAATTATTCTTCTGTCTTCCTCTTTCTCTTCTTTTTCTTCCCCTCTCCCTCCTCCCCTTCATCCTCTTCTTCCTCTTTTTTCCTTTTCAGGATGCACATTTGAAAATCTGTATCATTGTAGCTTCTCTGCTTTCTAGGTGAGCTGGGGGAATATTACCATCAAAAGAAAGAATATTGATGGGAACTAATTATTAAACTAGATAGAATATACTTTTCACCTTTGTTCTAGCTGTTGTGTTTTGGACTTATTCTATGGTAATAATCTCAACTATATGTTCACAGTATCTGGGGCCTTGAACCACTCAGTCTCAGACACAATTAGCAGTATTGGACATCTAATATTCCAGGCCCTGTGCTGGGCGGTCCACAACCATCGTCTTGTTTAAATCTCACACCGAACATGGAAGAACTCCAAGCTAAGAACTCATTCTCTTATTCCACAGCCATCTCATGTGCATTAACCATTTAACACAATGAAAATAAGCCTTAGCTGATTTTGAACTCTCTAACAATGTTTTCTTTCTTTGCGTTTGGAAATTCTAATACCCAAAGTGATGTTGTTTTAAGGGTTTGGCATAAGTTTACTCCAAAGTTAAAGTGTACACTACAAAAGGAAGAGAAAATATCCTACTTGTAAAAATGATTTATAATTTAGATTTTAAAAGGTCACATTGCAAGCAATATTCACAGAATTTCGGAACAACTTTTCTGAGTGCAGACAAACCTGATTCTTGTAATCTCAAATAATACATACTAAAACAAATCCTCTAAAAATAAATCCATCTAAAAGAAGAAATGATGTTGGAAGGGTGTGATCATTATGGGATGGAGATTTACTGTCCTCTCCTTTGAGACATGGCTCCTCTGTGAAATATTGACTCACTGGTCTCTACAAGGAAGGTATTATCTTTATATTGCTAAATCACATATGCATTTTACAAAATGATTCACAAATGCATCACCAGCAGGTGCACACTTCAAAGCAAAACATTTCTGTGAATCCCTGGCAAAAATAAGGGTGTAGCCTAGGTTTTGTAAGACAGCAGTGGCAGGGAAGAGGATGAGTGATACAGGGAAAACCAGCCAGAAGTAAAGTACTTACAGAAGATCTTATCTTCCCAGATGAAATTATCCAGGCTTTGGGTGCACAGAATATACAATGCAGAGGTGAACAGAGAAATCAAGGATTGAGCAAGACAAGACAAAACAAATGAAACACCACAAACAATACAAATTAATCAAAAGATGAGACCTGCTGCAATGCTTCAGGATCAGCAATAGCCAATAGTCTTTTCTAGAAAATCCTGAACCCGAAAGTGGTTCCCTTTTAAGTTTTGCAAACTCTGGGAGGCGATGACAGCCTCCTGCAGATTGGCCTTTGGCTGATCAGATTTCAGCAGCTCATTCACCTCCAAGGCCAGGTTCTCATCTTATACATCAGTGGAGCTTTCGCTTAGGTGAGGGCCCATATGGTAAGTTTTACTGTGCAAAAGAACTTTTCCTCCCTCCCCACTGACACTTCAGGCAACAAGAGACCAGCATCTCTAATGGGAGCATAATTCCAAGCTTATTTCCAGCTTTTCACAATTGCAGGCTGGCATTTTCCTTATAAATGCTATGGTGCACCAAATCTTAATGTTGTCAATATTAAAGTTTAAAACCACTTAGCAGCAAATAGCAAGTTTCTAAATGATAATTTGTAACAGGAAGGTGCCACCAGCTTTAAATTTTTAAAATAACGTTTGGAGAAATCTCAATTTCAGCTGGCTAGAAAATCACCATTTTGTAATATTTCTCGTGTTGTAGTACCTCTTATATGATAAGTAAAGAAAACATATTTGAAAGATAAAACACTTACTAGTCAGTTTTATTTTATGCAATGCATGATTTCTGCTAAGGGGGAAATAAACAGATGAAAGAGAGAAAGAGAGAGAAATGGAGACAGAGTGAGAGAAACAGAGTGAGAGAAACAGAGAGAGAGAAAGAAATGTCAGAGAAAACGTATTTTGCATGTCTGAGTTATGTCTTTCAAGACTCCATGTAATGTTTCCCTGCTTCTAAAACTTTCCAGGGTTGCCATCCAGAGTCAACACACTGTAATAACTACAGAGCCTCCCATTACCGGCTCAGGGCAAGAGACCCAGTCACAATTGTTCAAAACTACTAGTGAAGCCTTCTTTGGAAATTGTAACTCACAGGCAAGCGTCTCTGCATCCCAGAGCAAATCCTCTGAGATCCTCAGTCTCTCCTGCTGAAACTTCATCTTCCACTCCTGCCTTTGGGTCATTTCCAAACAGCAGGGCACCAGACACGCTCTACCTTATGTGGAGCCATACCTAAGTACAAGAGGATGGAGTTTCACTGTCGACTCAAAGCGTTTTTACCTCTGAGACTTTACAGTAAGTCAGGACCTTGCAGTAATATGATCGTTTGTTGTTTTAGAATGTTAATCACTCCATTGAGTTATCTCATTATTTTAAAAATAAAATAAAAACCACATTAAGATAAATTAGCCCATCCTTCTTATGCCATGTCAAGCATTAAAAAGAAATTATTTCATAATTTAATACTTTGCTAATTCTCTTGTAACAGTTCATGGTTTTGTGTTTAGGCTGAAGTCAGGAAAAACATTTTTCTGAAATCACTTCAATTCTGATTGTGATACTGACTCTCCTTTGTGAACGGGTGTAAATCCCTCACAGTCTGTGCTCCATGTCTGAGTTACTTGAGTATTACCATTATTATAGTTGCATATATGGAGGTGGAAGCCTTCAGTGTTTGGAAATCAAACTTCCATTGTCATCATTGCTCCCAGTGAGAATGAGGAAAGTTGGGCAGTTGTTCCCATTTGCTGAATTTATCCCACTGACTGGCCCTGCCCATTCTTCTGGGCTGGCTTGGCATGAAGAGCAAATAACAGCAGTGTTAATCCCCAGGATTTGGAAGGGAGATGGGATTTTGAGCTCTCTTTATCTTTAGACCTTTGCAAAGGGGGTTACTGAGAGTCCTGCAGCAGACTCAGCAGGACAAGCTGCTATTGTTACTCTCCACAATTAGGGTTAACCCTCAAAACAGCCTTGGCTCTTCTCTTAGTTTTTGCTCCTTCGAAAGTGAGAACCAGGTCCCATTCTATGGAAATTGTGAGCAAAAAGAACTGGAAAATGAACACTGAACTGATACAAAGAAGAAAGTTACTGATTGTCAACCATACAAGCTTTACCTACAATGCACCTTTTTCTCCTGCTCTAGCATGGATTAGATAGATCAACCATTCCTGAATTAGGCTCAGATTAAGGCTCCTGGGTTGGGAAGGGTACGTGATGATATTGCTGTGCTGATCATGATGCTCTCAAGTCAAAACCTGTATTATAATTTTGAAAAAACTGATGTTTTTTCCATTAGAAATATAATTGTTAAGGGTCTCTTGAGTGCAAAGTCAACAGTTTTGGAGTTTATAATATAATTAGGAGTTAGGAGGCATACTCTTAACCACTAAGTAGCTTAACTATTTAAAACATCAGAGTCATCATAAATAGCATGACTAAATAAGTAGATTAGAAGTTCCTATATGAATAATGGAATCAACTATAGCATATATGTTGTATGAGGTTTTGAAAAATATTTTCCTTAAACCTACAATGAAGCATAATGTAATAATATTTTAACTTTTCCCATGAAATCTACAGCAACAAATTTTTCAAGCAGTGTCAAGGGAATGTAACATCCTATTTTGGCCTGCAAAACTTTTACCATACCCAAAAAACTGTTAAATGCAATAATTCTTTACTTTCTGACTTTCATGTTCCATGAAAAGCCAATTCTGTTAGGACAGTTGCCTACTTGAACTTTAAAACATGTAACTTACTAACAGACCAATTGACTATTGACATCACACACATCTATCTCATGCTAAATGATTCCATGAATGATCATCAATGTCTTTACGGTTACTAAGTTGAAGACCTCCAATTCTTTCAGTCTTCCATGCTGGAAACAAGCCATAGTCCTAGGGAACAGGAAAGCCAAAGCTAGCTTAAAAAGGCAACAGATGATGCAACGCTGTCTCCTTTGAATTCTCTCATTGTCCTTTTATTCATATATTTTTTAAATTGACAAATTATGATTTTACGTATTTATGGAGTACATAGTGGTATTTCAATACATATCATATGTGGTGATCAGGTTAGGGTAATTAGAGATATCCATCATCTAGAACATTATTCATTTATTTGTTTTAGGAACATTCAATATCCTCCTTCTAGTTGTTTGAAGCTCTATATTATTACTAACCACAGTCATTCATGTATTTTTAAATATTGGATTATGATTTTTTTCTCAAGAATTTGGCAAAATCCTCAGGGAGATGACAGCATAGTGTCTTTATGTTCACTCAGATTCATGAAAAAAATAGGGACATGTTTGGAAGACTATCCTATCAAAATTTCTGAAACTTATCAACATGTTCAATGAAAATGAGCACAGGGGTCTTTGAATCCCTACACTAGGGCTCCAGATTGTTTCATCCTGTACTTCCCTCAGTTAATCATTAATATCTTCAGGAGCCCTGTAAAGCCTGAGAATGTGCAGTCAGCAACCTATTTTAAGGGAGACAGAATGTATAATTCAATAATACCTTTCTTGATTGCTTGAGTTTAAAATAACATTATATGTTCTTTCAGGTAAGTACAAATTAACCTGATCAAATATAGAAGCATATTGGGAAATGCCACAAATTCAAAATGTTGAATACTAATTATATCAATACTTTAATCTCATTACTGTCTTATTTTTGAAAAAAAAAAGGTAAATTACTATTAGAGACAAAAAAGTTTCTCTTTTTTCCTCAAAGATTCAGTTGTTCTTAGAATGAAGGATACAGATAAATACCCAACTGAGATATTCATCAATTTATTTCTTCTTTCTTTCTTTTTATTTATTTATTTATTTATTTATTTATTTATTTATTTATTTATTTATTTGAGACAGGGTCTCATTCTGTCACCCAGGCTGGAGTGCAGTGGCACAATCTTGGCTCACTGCATCTTCGACCTCCTGTGCTCTAGTGATCCCCCCACCTCAGCCTCCTGAGTAGTGGAGACTACAGGTGTGTGCCACCATTGCATTTTTAGTAGAGATGGCATCTCACCAAGTTGGCCAGGCCAGTCTCGAACTCCTGACCTCAAGTGACCCACACCCCCTTGACCTCCCAAATTGCTAGGATTACAGGCGTGAACTCCATGCTCACACTGATATTCATCAATTTATGTATTTTTCCTCATGCATGGACTTTCTACATTTTATAACATTTAAATCATAAACAACATTAAATGGACTATAAAACTGAAAACTTCTATAGTAAATTGAAATCAAAATATACAGTAATTTTTCTTCTTTTTAACTTAGAGAAAATAGAGAGTATATAAAATAGAAAGATATTGATAACCATAGTTCTGTTTCCCTTATATTCCTCTTCCTGTAATAAGATTTTGTAAGTCGTACAATCAATTAATTGACCTGAATGTATTTTTTCCTCTGGTTTCTACAAAAATAAAATCCTAAAATTTTATTTTATGCACACAACTTTTAAATCTAATTTGTAACGAGTTGGAACTTCAGATAAGCAGATTTAGCCAAAAAAAGTGCATCCATTCAGGCCAACAAGTGCTACAGCCCATTTGTAGCACCAAAATGCATCTATCTAAATCCCATCCGGTCCAGTATCCTGCCTAGTACTCTCAGTCATTCTCCTAATTATCTCCTGAATTTTCAGTTGAACTCAGCGTTTCTCATATTGAGGTCTGGAAACTGACTACATTGGAATCACCTGGAGTATTTATTCACAGTAACCCTGGGCACATCCAAACCTACTGATTCAGTATTTCCAGGGATGGGTCCTGAAATCTGCATGTTCTACATGCTTCTAGATGAATGAGAACAATTGATCTAATCCATTTCAGCCCACCTTCTCACTTGGTTGATCTAATACTAGACTAGATTATTCCTGTTGAAACTAGTATTTCATTATTGCCATCAAATCCCATTGTTTTCCACCTCCGCCCTATTCCCATACCAGCTCTTAAACATGGCTTTTCTCAAATCATCTGATATATTTCAATCACTTTTACCACAGAGGCTTCACTTTTTCCTACTTTATGCAACATTATATTTAATAAATATCTTCTCCAACCAAATTAAGCTCTGTGATAACAGGGACATTTTTAGCCTTGTTGAGCTTTGCATACACAGGGCCAAATAAAGAGTCTAGTGCATAGTAGGTATCCAATACCTATCTGAGAACGAATGAATGCATGAAGGAGAGAACTTGCTCTTGGCTCCCTTGTGCTGCTTCTACAATCATAGGGCATTTCTTCATTTGGAATATACCATCAAACTATTCCACATCCCTCTTCAAATTCATTGATTAAGACACAAATGTGACAGGCATTTTTAATGACATTATAGATATAAAAATGAATAGGACATTCTTCTTTGCTCTTGACGGGTTCAGAATCAAAATAAAGGGCTCTTGATCCTGGCCGGCTGCCCCTCATCTCACCTCAGCACCTGATGCATGATTTGCTCTTAGTGATAGCCATGAGTGAATGTTATTCCTGATGATATCTCTAAAAGCTTGGCCCCAGCTTTCTATCTCCTTGGCATCTTTGATTTTACACCAGTCATCTCCAGGAAGAACAGAGTTCATGCAGTTCAAAGATGTGTGATTTATATCACCAGATTTAAACATAAAGCACTCCCTTGCTATAGACATAATTAATTTAAATATTTATTAAATTTTTTTTCTTTTTTCCCCAGAGATGGAGTCTCTCTCTCTGTCACTCAGGCTGGAGTGCAGTGACACAATCATAGCTTACTGCAGCCTTGAACTCCTGGGGCTCAAGCAATCCTCCCACTTCAGCCTCTGGAGTAGCTGAGACTACATGCACACCATCACGCCCAGGTAATTTTTATTTTATTTTTGGTAGAGACTTGGGATCTCACTATGTTGCCCAGGCTAGTTGATACTTCCTGGCCTCAAAGAATCCTCCCACCTCGGCCTCCCAAAGTGCTGGGGTTACAGGTGTGAATCACCATCCCCAGCCCATTTAACCAACTTTACTATTTATTAAGCACTCCTATTTTTAATGCATCATATTAGAAGACAGAATGATGAGAGAGATCAAGGTCTTACATGCATACTGGACTTGCCTGCAGTGCCTCATTTATCTGTCAAGTAGCCTCACTATACAGATGAGAAAAATCTACAGCTGGGCGTGACTGCAGAAGCACAGTCTTAGTGCCCTTCCACGTACCTTTGCCAGTGCACCCCCCTGCACCCCTTTCTGTGAGTTTCTCCCTCTTGTCAGCTGCAACTGAACCTGCTCTTCTTGCTCGTTGGTCTCTTTAGTCACATGGTCCTAATCAATACACCTGAGTGAGATATAAGGCTCCTTTCTGATTTTAGCTTTCTTTCTTCCTGGCTCGGACAACCTGGTCATTTCATTCCTGAGCCAATATAACCCCTTGATCTCCTACTGTGACAATTTTCAGACCCAGATAACCCTGATTGTGGGTTTTCTTTACATGTGGACTTCAACATGCAGCTGATAAAATGAAGCCATTTCATTACAAATGTAAGCTTTTGAAATTGGGCTGTTTTGACTGCTCAAAAATCCTTTTGTTCTCTTCTTGCTGACTCTCTGGTGAAGTTATCAACTTATGACTCTCAAAACCCTCTCTAGGTCTTTTCAACTTTCCCAATTTCAAGTTTCTTATCTTTATCTGCCTGGTGAAAATGCTACTAGGGCTTAATGTGTTTAATTCATTACTCTCATTCCCTCAAACTGGTTTCATTCTCCACATCCTTATGTCTATCAGAGGCACCATTGTTCTCTAATCTATATAAGCTCAATTTGGAGATATTCTCAGACACATGGGTCCTTCAACCTACTCCAAATTGTCTCCAAGTGCCAATACCATTTCTCAATAGCTGCTTCTTGTGCCATCTTCATTGTTTTAGCACTTACACCAAGCAAGAATCATATAATTATTTTGTCAATGTAAAATATCTATTCTAATACACTCACTCTAAGATAGAATATGGAAATGTTTGTCAAATAAATCAGTGAATACCCTAATGAATAATATTTGAATAAATAAATAGCTAAGGTGAGGTGCAGCCATACCCCCACTCCAGGAATATTATAGATTTTATGCTGGTGTCTATGTAGAAGCCACATCTTCTTATTAAGAAATATTTTCCTTCTATTCCCTTAAAGCTCAAGTTGCTGTTTCTAATAAGTGTTCAAGAATTTTCTTTTGATTTCAGTGAATATTGAATAGACTTGTGGAAATGCAATAACGTTTTTGTTTTGTTTTGTTTTGTTTTTTAAGATGGAGTCTCGCTCTGTTGCCCAGGCTGGAGTGCAGTGGCATGATCTCAGCTCACTACAACCTCTGCCTCCTGGGTTCAAGCAATTTCCGGCTAATTTTTGTACTATTAGTAGAGACTGGATTTCACCATGTTGACCAGGCTTGTCTCGAACTCCTGACCTCAAGTGATCTGCCCACCTCAGCCTCCCAAAGTGCTAGGATTACAGGTGTGAGCCACTGCACCTGGTCCTGAAATGCCATAAAGTTAAAGAAGATTTATATCAATCTTAACTCAAAATTTATGTACGAGACAAAATAAAAATTTAAACAACTAAGAATTATTATGGTAAATTATCGTAAGGAAGCATGAAGATAACAGTAAACAATAAATGGTAGGTGTCTTAGAGTGAGTAAATAATGAATATCTGAGTGAAAAAAAATGGATCATGTTCTTGGAAGACTTTGGAAATCACCATGAAGGAACCCCTAAAAATCTCTCAGGACCTCTTCAAGAAGTTACCAAGTTACCTTATCTTTCTGACACCTGAATTTACATACTTTTAACTTTAAATATAATCATTTTCAAATATACTGTATACCAATCTACAACTTTAGTTTCAATTATCTTCCTCTTCTCTCTGCCATTCTCTTAGAGGTTTATTTTGATTTATTTTATTTTACAATTAGCTGTTTTAAATGAAGAGTTATTCAAGTATCTCAAAATCATCAAGAGAATGATGGTAAATGTTGAAAGAAAATGTAACTTGTTTCATTCCTTTCTTTAATAACTTCCGGTCATGTAGTTTTGCATCAAATCAAGCCTGACTACTGTAAACTGAGTTACTGAATGGCTTACTATTTTAAGTTCCTTTGCATTTCTGCAGAAATGAGCAAGTAAACTTCTTGACCCTCCAGCATTCCTTCACTCATCCAAACTGCAGGTCTGTGCATAATCTTTGAGTCAATGAAGACATGTCGCATGTGTGGGTGTTTTTTTCTTCTTCTTTTTCTTTCCCAGAGACTGGTCAAATCACACTGGCTCCAGAGTTTGGCCCTCCTGCCCTAGCAATAAAGGTCATCAGTAGCATGGAGTCAGCTTTGGATATCTCCCAATCAGAAACAAATAACAGAGACTCCTTTGGGAATCCATTGAGACCATTACAGACCTTCCAATGAACAGTTAAGCTTTGTAGTGTGCCTCCTCGAGAAACAGCTGTTTGTCTAACCTTTGAACTGACCGATACATTAATCTGAAGCATAATTTAGTTCTGTCTGAGCTCTTGGGTACAGCATGAATAGCTGGCTTGCTCATATTATACCAGTCTCCAAAATAATACTTTATGTGCTTGTTTAAAAATAGTCATTTTCCCTTCCCAATTTAATTATGTATGATTATTCGATAAGGGGATGCCAGAGCTGGTGTATAGTTCCTACACTCCCATTCTGATAACTCTACTGCTATCTAGCCTTGATCCTGCTGTTATTTCCTGATATTCATCAGAATCCGTAAAGCAGCTACTCTCTGGAGCCTCTTTTCACACCAAAGAGAAAGTTGCACCCAGGGCTTCGCTCAGGTGAGGAGAGATTAAGAGAGTGATGCACAGGCACAAGCGCCCACATTGTGATGTGCTGCGGTTGTCGAGTAACATTGTAGCATTCAACAAAATAGCCTTATTCTGAGGGAGCCTCCTGTGGAGTCTCTTTTTGCAAGCTGGAGAAGGTTCGTAGCACACAAAAGTCCGATTTTGTAATTCCTTTATAAGAACCAGATTCCTATCAATTCAATAGAAAGAATGGGAGAGAAACTCTAGCAACTAGGAAGATACTTGGATAACGAAGGTGTAACTGGAATACTACAATCTCATTCCTCTATGAAATGAAGCACATTAAGTCGTTAAGAAGAAAACAAGAGCATGTTAACTGAAATAGTTTACAATTAAAGAGAAAATGATAAGAGCACATTGTAAATTACTCAGAAACCTTAGGTACGCCATGGTCTTAAGGAACTCTGTTTATTTTTAAAGGAAACGGGAAAATACCACTGCCCACTGTGCACAATTGAAGAGCCATTTAGATAACTGATTCAGAAGTACAGAAAAGCTTATGGAATGACAAAGACATCAGAGGACGGAAATTTGGGAGCCCTTGATAGCCTGCCAAGTTTGAATTGTAGCTACTCTGCTTACTAGCTGGGGAATCATGTGAAGTTTTCACCCTCACCACACCTTAGGTGAGTCATCCATAACATGGGAATAATATTGAATCATCTGTCTTATAGGGTTGCTGTATTAAAAGAGGTGACATATGTTAAAAAAAAAAAGAGCAATAAATATAGAGTAATTCTCAATGAACACTAGATGACTATCGTATACTTGTAAACTGCTAGGGGAGTAGATTGTAAAAGTGCTTACTGCAAAAAATGTGAGGTGATAGATATGTTAACTGGCTTGATTTGACCATTTTACAACGTAAAGATTTATGAAAACATCCCACTGCACAACATAAATGCATACAACTTTTATTTGGTAACCATGCCTTGAGTTTTAAAATTAGGTGATGACAAACTTTTCTACTGCATGGCTGTGAGTAAGCCATCTCATGTTTCTGGAGCTAAGTTTTCCCACATGTAACATTAGGTGAAGTGTTGTTGTTTGGATATTTGTTCCCTCCAAATTACATGTGGAAATGTGACATCCAATGTTGGAGGTAGGGCCTAGTGGGAGGTGTTTGGGTCATGGGTGTGGATCCCTCTTAAATAGCTTGCTGCCGTCCTTGTGTTAGTGAGTGAGATATTGCTCCAGATCTCACATGACCTCCTTTTGTTTAAAAAGAGTGTGTCAACCCTGCTCCCTCTCTTGCTTCCTTTCTAGCCATAACATATACTGGCTCCCCTTCTCCTTCCACCATGATTATAAACTTCCTGAGGCCCTCACCAGATCCAGATGCCAACATTATGCTTCCTGAACAACCTTCAGGACTGTGAGCCAAATAAACCTCTTTTCTTTATAAAATACCCAGCCTCAGATATTCCTTTATAGCAACAAAAATGGACAGACAGAAAACTGATACAGAAGAGTGGGGCATTGCTATAAAGATTCCTGAAGGTGTGAAAGTGGCTTTGGAACTGGGTAATGAGCAGAGCTTAGAAGAATTTGGAGGCTCAGAAGAAGACAGGAAGATGAGGGAAAGTTTGGTACTTCTTAGAGAATTGTTAAGTTGTTGTCACCAAAATGTTGATAGAAATATGGATAGTAAAGGCCACACTGATAAGGTCTCAGATAGATACAAAGAATTCATTGGGAACTGGAGCAAAGGTCACTCTTGTTACACCCTAACACAAAGCTTGGCTGCATTGTGTTCATGTCCTGGGAACCTGTGGAAAGCTGAACTTATGTAAGTATGAAAGTAACTAAAGTATCTGAGTATCAAAGCATTCAGGATGTGACATGGCTGCTTCTAATAATCTATGATCATATATGGAAGCAAATTAATGACTTAAATTTGGAATTTATAACTAAAAGGGAAGCAGGGCATAAAAATTTAGGAAATTCACAACCTGAGCATGTGGTAAAATAGGAAAGATCATTTTTAGAATGTATATAGAACCACGTAGTGAAGCCACCACTTGCTAGGGAGATTTGTTTGACCAAAAGGGAGGAAGCTGGTAATACCCAAGACAATGGGGAGAAAAGCCTTGAAGGCATTTCAGAAATCTCTAAGGCTTCCCCTTCCATCACAGGCCCAGAGGCCTAGGAGGCAAGAATGGTTTGTGGGGGAGGTCTCTGCTACCCTGCATAGCCTCAAGACACTGCTCAGTGTATACCCACTGCTCCTGCTCAAGCTGTGGCTCAAATGGCCCCAGGTGTAGCTCAGGATGCTGCTCCTAAAGGTGCAAGCCATAACCCTTGGCGGCTTCCATGTGGGATTAAGTCTGCAGGTACACAGAATGCAAAAGTGTAGGAAACTTGGCAGTTTCCACCTAGATTTCAGAGGATGTCTGAGAAAGACTGAGTGTCCAGGCATAAGCCTACCACAGGGGTGGAGCCTTCACAGAGAGCCTCTCCTAGGGCAGCACTGAGGGGAAATGTGGGGTTGGTGTCCCCACATAGAATCCCCACCAGGGCACTGCCTAATGGAACTGTGGGAATGGGGCCACCAACCTCCAGACCCTGGAATGATAGAGCCACTAGTTGCATGTACCCTGACCCTGGAAAAGCTGCAGGCATTCAACTCTAACCCATAAAAGCAGCCACTTGGTCTGCGCCCTGCAAAGCCACATGGGTAGAGCTGTCTAAGGCCTTGGGAGCCCACCCCATGCACCAGTGTGCCTTGGATGTGGGACATGGAATCAAAGGAGATTATTTTGGAGCTTTAAGGTGTAATGCCCACCCCAACAGATTTCAGACTGTGTGGGGCCTGTTGCCCCTTTCTTTTGGCTGATTTCTCCCTTTTGGAATGAGAATTTTACCCAATACCTGTACTACCACCATTGTATCTTGAATGTAAATAACTTGTTTTTTTTTTTTAATTTTACAGTCTCATAGGTAGAAGGAACTTGCCTTGAGTCTCAGATGAGACTTGGGACTTAGGACTTTTCAGTGGAGGCTGGAATGAATTAAGACTTTTGGGGACTATTGGAAAGAGATGATTATATTTTGCAATGTGAGAAGAGCATGCAATGTTGGGGGCTGGAGGGGAATGATGTAGTTTAGATATTTGACCCTTCCAAATCTCATGTTGAAATGTGACCCCCATTGTTGAAGGTGGAAGCTGATGGGAGGTGTTTGAGTCATGCAAGAAGATACTTCATGAATGGATTCATGCTGTTTTGGTGGTAGTGAGTGAGTTCTTGCTCTGAATTCAAGCAAAATCTGGTTGTTTAAAGAGTGTGGTATGCCCCTCTGTCTCTTGCTCCTTTCTCACCGTGATATATGCTGGCTCCCCTTAAACCTCCAACATGATTTTAAGCTTCCTGATGTCCTCATCAGAAGCAGATGTCAGCATTATGCTTCATATATAGCCTGCAGAACCATGAGCCAAATAAACCTCTTTTCTTTATAAATTACCAAGCCTTAGGTATTATTTTATAGCAATGCAAATGTACCAACACAAGAAGAGGCTAGATAGTATCCAAAATAACCTCTATCAATAAAATGCTATGACTCTCATAAATTTTTTTAAGTTTTTACACACCTACTAGTGAAAACTTTTGATAATAGTAATCATCACTATTTGCATTATACTTATTGGTTTACACTACATTTTCTCATACTTTCTTTTTATTCTTACAATAGTATTTCAAGATGGGTATTATTATATTCCCAGTTTTCAGATTGAAAAAGTTAAGATTCAGAAAGTTTAAATGAATTATTCTAAGTTAAGGAGTTATTGCAAGCAAGGTTGCATCTGTATTCTTGTTTACACCATAAATCCAACAACTTTGGCATAATTCAGGGTGGTTATATTACCACAATGCATTTAAGATTGGTAGACACCAAAGGTTTATGCAAGGAAAGTTTGTCAATGTTTTTTTGAGATTAAAAAAATGTGAAAAACGAGGTTCCTGTATTCACAAGGCCTACAGTTTTTGGGTTTTTCTCTCTTCATCTTTAGAATAAGGTTATTCTGCTAGATATTTCTAAATCATTTCTAGTTTAATAGTCTAAACTAAGACTATTTAAGAATGTATATAGAACGAAGTTGTGGAGCCACCACTTGCTAGGGAGATTTGTTTGACCAAAAGGGAGGAAGCTGGTAACATCCAAGACAATGGGGAGAAAAGCCTTGAAGGCATTTCAGAAATCTCTGAGGCTTCCCCTTCCATCACAGGCCCACAGGCCTAGGAGACAACAATGGTTTGTGGGGAAGGTCTCCGCTACCCTGAATAGCCTCAAGACACTGCTTCTCTTAGAGTACACTTCTCTTCCAAACATGAATCTGACCTGCAAATTACTCATCTGTTTTCTTCTTTATGAAGTATATTCATTCTAGAAGACTACATGTATAGCAAGCCATATTTCTTGCTTCACAGAATTTGAATGAAAGGACTACGGGATCACCAAATAATCAAAGAGAGACCCCCCTAGAGAAGGACTTACCCATTGTTTAGTCAAATAACCTCCTGTGGCTAAAAACCCTCATTTGTTTTATTTCCACTCTTTTAGTTCTGTAGTCTTCCTTGTACTTTTTTCCCTTGCAAGAAAAGAAGGTTTAATTGCTGAGGCACTCTTAACCCTCTTTTTCTAGACTATAAGGCTTTAATTACTTTTAGCAGAAAGCTAGAAGAAGGGTCTCTTTCTGAGAACTCTAATGGTAAAACACATTGGAAATAGCATAGAGGGGATCCTCTATGTTTTCCCTATCTAAACAGGGAGATAGTATTTCCCATGGAATAACCAATTTCAGGGTATCTAAACCTGAAGTATCAACAATACATTTCTATGAAGTCTTGAAATCACTGACACTTTAATTTCTGCATATCTGAACAAAGTACTCTTTGCTTGTTGACTTTGGGAGCAAACAAACAAACAAACAAAAATCCAACATAGAGTTGAGATGGAAATTAGTGAAGGTCGGGTTTTAAATCACATACTCAACTCGATTTATCAGTAGAACTCTTTAGAACGGGCAGAGTTACAGTTTCTTTAGCTTCTTCATTTTTTACTTTCAACTCCATTGTCTACCCCTTAGTAATTTCATTTCACTTTAGTACTGCCAATGAGAGTGCCAGTTATTAAAGACAAGCTCATATCATTCCATTCCTTTTTCTGTTTGTTATCTCCTGGAAAGTTTATTCATTCAGCGTATAGAAGTGAGTGCCTACTGCAGGCTAGGTAATAGAAATATAAATAGGTATATTATCCTTCATCAAAGACTACAGACAAATAAGTTAGTCAGCATCCAAACAGATATAAACTAGTAGTGTTGAGAGGATATTTAAGTGTGTGACGTGATGACTCTGGAGAGATAACATACCAAACTGTGGCATGGTGGGAGAAAATTTGAAGATAAGTTTTCAGCTGAAACTTGATGTATAGATAAAAGTTAGGGTGGTGATAAAGACGGTGTGGGAAAAATAACCTAAAGAAAAAAGGATATTATGAACAAACATAGGCAAAACTATAAAAACATGAAAGATGTAGCTGGGAAACTATGTGTGGTTGATTTTTGCTAGAGAGTAAATGGCAGGCAGGAAATGGGAGGAGATAAAGTTAGAGATAGAGATATGAGCACTAGCTAGTCTATGAGGGTTGTTATGCCATACTAAGAATCATAGGCAGACTCTTAAAGGTTCTGGGGCACCCTCCAAAGGATGAGTAGAGGGCTAAAAGATGTGTTTAAGAGCATGTTCTCTGGTGGCAAGTGAAGGGGGTAATTTGAGAGTTAGGGACAGACTGACAGTGAAGAGACACCGGGTAACAACCTATTGTAAGGTTCCAGCCAAAAATGGCAAAAGCCTAAAAAGGGTGATGATAGTGAACCTATAAACAAAGGGAATTGATTCCAGTAACATTAATAAGATAAAACAGCAGATTGTGATGATATAACGAGTATCCCCTAAGTGCCCAGCTCTGGATAGACACTGAGAATAGTGAATGTCACAGAAAGTCCCGTGTTTTGTATTTTCTGGTGTGATACAAAAACTTCCTGGGCCAGGATTTTGTACACAGCAGAGCAGCTCTCTCAATTTGATCTATTGAAAGTCAGCCCTTGACACAAGGGTTTGAAATAAAGAAAAAATAACTATAATAAGCAAATCAGCAAATAAATTAACAAGAAAATTATATATATAGTGTTATGAAAGAAATTAACAGGTGAATATTACTGTGAATGAACACAAAAAATATTAAAAGTGGGTTAAAATTATCCCTTTCTCTAGTGCTCAAACTACAATCCATGTGTCTACTTTTGCTTTTGTTACCTGTGCTTTTGAGACCTTCTCCAAAAAAATCTTTGCCCAGACCTATGTCATGAAGCATTTCCCCTAGGTTTTCTTCTAGTAGTTTTATTCTGTCTTGTCTTACATTTATATCTTTAATCCATTTCAAATCGATTTTTGCATATGGTGAAAGTTAAGAGTATAGCTGTATTCTTCTGTGGATATTCAGTTTGTCCAGCACCGTTTATTAAAGGGACTGTCCTTCCCCCAATGTGTGTTCTTGGTATCTTTGTCAAATATCAGTTATCTGTACATGTGTGAATTTATTTCTGTGTTCTTTATTCTGTTCCATTGGTCTATGTGTCTATATTTATGCCTGTACCACATTGTTTTTATTAATATAGCTTTGTAATATAATTTGAAATCAGGCAGTATAAAGCCAACAGCTTTATTCTTTCTGCTCAAAACGTATTTAGCTCTTTGAGGTCTTTTGTGGTTCCAAATGAATTTTAGGATAATTGTTTCTATTTCTGTGAAGAAAATATCGTTTGAAGATTGGTGTAGCCTTCAACCTGTGAACTAATTTCTTATTTTAGATCTAGAAAGTTAGGGGGTTTTGTCTTTAAATAATCTTTATATTTATACCTCTCTTTGGGTGCATGTGTTCTATTATTTAAGCAGATCCTTCAAACAGATCTGGTTTAAAGTCTTTCTAAATATATTTATACTGTTTAGTTATTAGGGCACATTTTCTGAGCATTTGATTCTAGTGAAACACCCTAAAAATTTACTCTTGTGCGATGTATATATGTTACAATGGTTCATATATATGACACGATATATGTGATATATGATATGATATATATGCTATAATAATACGTAGGATTCAAAGACGATTCTTCATGGGAGTCCACCCCATGTGTATTTCAGTATAGTAGTTTTTTTTAAATTTGTCTCATTCGTGGCACTAGGAAATGTATCAGTCTCTCACTAGTTCTTACATTAATTGATCAATCCGAGATGTACTCACATATGATTTGAATTTAGATCCCATATCTCCTGTAGGAGCAGCTTGGATTTCCCACTTTTCAAGAGTTACTCCTTTTCCACCCAGGGCTGCAAGTAGATCACCAGTTTCTTTGCAGTTCCCTCAGATGAAAATAGTTATTTAGTTCCTGTTGTAGAGACAGATCAATATTTTGTGCCTCTGCTTTATGCATATATCTCAGTTGTAGGTGCCCACATTCTTAGGACCTGAAATCCTGACTACCATTTTTGAGGGTTGTAGAATTTCATGCTCCATACAATACAAGGAGTTAGACTTGGAAAGTAAATGCACAGGAAATGACCACACAGGAAGTGGAAAGAATGAGGTCTATAGAAATAGTTAGAGGTGAGGCAAATGAAGGAAAAAATATTTTTCTAACAAACTTTCACACAAAGGAGGAACAGCATTCATATGTATAACTTTATCCATCAACTAAATATATGATGTTATATCCTCTTTTCTGTGACGGTTACTTGTGGTGAAGCAAAACAGATTGAGTTAATCATATTAATAGAAAAACTCATGTTTCAATTTATAATGACATATTGGAGGCATGATGCTCTCCCATTGCCTAGGAATTCACTTCTCTTCTTTAATAATGAGGCTGGCAGGAAATTTGCCTCTTTTGTAAGGACCCTGTCTCTCTGGCCACAGTTTGTTCACCTGGTGAATTGGCACCTAAATTGATCTGTCCCTGGAAGCCATTTAGAGAGGACTAGAGAATGAGAAACCACCAAGGGATTGGGGTGAGGGCAAAGAGCACATTGGTGTCCCACACGTAAAGATTCCATCTTCAAGATGAATTGTTCAGTCCCTTCTGCCCCAGCTAAAGTCACGTGAATTAGTGATGAAACACTCAGCCAAACTTTTCCCAAATTCCAAATCCACAAACCATCTGCAAAATCACTGTTTTAGGCTACTAAGATTTGGGGTAGTTTGTTGCACAACTATGGATAACTGGGCTACTTAACATGAAAAGCACCTTTATGAAAAAGCTATTTAAGACTCATAGACATATTGGCTTGTGGATATCCATTTTTTGGCTCAAAACAAGAGTGGCAATCAAGATGACAGAACTTAAGCACTAAAAAAGTTCTACTAAGTGACAAATGAAGACATGTCTCATTTCATTATGGACTGACAAGTATCTGAAATTCTAAGAATATCACACCTGGATGCTGAATTCAGTTTGAGGCATCTAAGCCCCAGACACATTGGAAGAAGTTCAGAGAAGAATAATCCCAAGTCTGATCCACACCTACCCCAATTAAGAAATGTTGGGTTTTCATTTTGTTTTGTTTTAAAAAAGCAGAAACCCCAACAACAACCGTCTACCCCACACATAAAACCACAGTGATTAAAGAAGGAAGGTCTGGCGAGAGATGAAAGACAAAGCATGTAACTAGCTACATGAAAATGTACCTTAGGGCCAGCAACTGGTAACTACAGGAAAGGTATGATCTGATGCTACAAATATTTGAAAGTCATTTTACGCAGTCAATAGAACAACCTTTTATGAGGTGTTATTAATATAGTAAAACGTTTTTAAAAATTTCTTCTTTTTTCTAAGTCTACATTAACAAACTTGAACTGAAAATTATTGTGAACAAAAGTAAGGATATTCATACCTTTCTTGTCTGTAGCTATTATTGCAACTAAGAAGCACCATCGTTTAGCACCAATAAAAGGATCAAAGAAAATAATTTCAATGGCATTTCTACATTAATCACATTTTAAACATGTATATTTTTAAAATTTTATAAGCACATTATATATTAGCATGCACTTAACATGCTTGCATGTTGAATTCCTTTATTTTTTTATCGATGTCCATTTTTCTAATTTTGATAATCTGTACAGCCTATAATTTAGTGAGGTAACAGCATGAAAACACATTTTACACAGATATACTTGGATTGCATCTTTAAAAACTGAAATGACGGTCATCTTTATACTTCTTCTTTTTCAATTACTATATATTAAATGTCCACTGTGGGTAAGGCTCTGTGCTGGGATTTAGTGATACAAAGTGAGTGCATTATAGTTCTGGCCTTTGTTCAGCTTCCATTCTAGTAGAGGAGAAAACACTTTACAGCAATCATTGATTTTATGGTCTAAGCACTCTGATAGAAATATGGATAAAGGACAAAGGAGACTGAAGGAGCAGGACTCAAGCCTCTGAGGAGATCTTCTAGTTGGAGCTTGAATAATAATAGTATGTCAAAGCAAAGATGCAAAATACCGTATGATATATCTCAGTCGAGGTGCTGTATGTGAAAAATGTTTTGGAAAATGTGAAATACTAAATAAGTATGAACTATATTTCTGGATAACCGAGATGTCAGCAAAGAGACCTAGCTTTTTAAAATTTCATCTGAACTGGCACAGATTTCCCATGAATGTCTAGTTCCTTACTTACTACTTAAAGGAGCTGGGTTTCTGCTTTTTTCTCTCCTGAGATTTGGGGGAGGCCTGAGAACATGCATATTTCCCCCTTGTGCGTCAAACTTAAGGCTACTCTTGAAGACATTCATTTTAAGGATCAACATGCCTGTGTTGTGTATGCTGATTTTCTATAAAAGGCTGTGCCTGTAGAATGAAATACAGCCCATTTTCCTCATTTTTTACACACACATGCACACACACACCCCATGTATATAAGGTATCTGTGGGTGTGGCAGATTTTTACTGATAGTTCAAGGATAAAAAGTCTTACTCATGTCGCAATAACACCAATAAGCTAATTATTTATCCCTTCCCCGCTTTTTACTTAGACTAATTTTTCCACAGGCCCCAGCCTCTCTCAATGTTGTTTATCTCCACGTTTCTACTGACTAGACTGCTGCCCCATGTGACCTTGATACTTAAAAAAAAAAAAAAAACAAAACCCTCTTTTTAAACCATGCAGACTAATTCCACCCATCCCCGAAATTCACCTCTGCCTGTATCTTTACACGCCCAGACACTGGTTCATTTACTAAAGTGCTGTTCACTTTGTCTCCCTGTATCTTTACACACCCAGACATGGGTCATTTGCTAAAGTGCTGTCCACCTATTTCAGGTTTTAATCTCTCTGCTTTTTTAAACAGCCTCTGCAAGAAGTTAAAAATAGTTTTGCTGATTTAGAGTCATCCTCCTAAGAACCTAGTAACTAGTCAATTTTGGAGTTAAGTAGCATTTCTTTTTTTCTGTGAATCCGAGACAGGGGTTATGTTTGAGATTTTTTTTTTTTTTTTTTTGATGGAATATCGCTCTGTCACCCAGGCTGGAGTGCAGTGGCACAATCTTGACTCACTGCAACCTCCACCTCCCGGGTTCAAGCGATTCTCCTGCCTCAGCCTCCCAAGTAGCTGGGACTACAGGCACTTGCCATCACGCCCAGCTAATTTTTTGTATTTTTAGTAGAGACGGGGTTTCACTATGTTGGCCAGGCTGGTCTCGAACTCTTGAGCTCGTGATCCCCCGCTTTGGCCTCCCAAAGTGCTGGGATTACAGGCGTGAGCTACCGTGCCTGGCTTTTGAGACGTTTATTGTGATGTTTCATTGGAATCAATACCCAGTGGGGAAAGGGAAAGTGGGAGGAGCTGCTGACCTGACAATTTTAGACCAGTAGTTCTCATATGGGGGCAATTTTGTCACCCCAGGGGACATTTGATAAGGATGGAGACATTTTTTATTATCATGACCAAGGTGGGGGTGGGGAGTTGCTACTGGCATCTGGTGAGTAGAAGACAGGAATTATGCTCAACACCCTATAATGCATGGGATGGCCACCTACAACAAAGAGTTGCCCAGCCCTAAACGTCAGTTTTACCAAACTTGAGAAACTCTGGCTTATTTCACCCTCAGGAGAGCAGCAACCCCCAAACCTGGGACAATCACCCCTTCATTGAAGAGGGAAGGAGGCAGCACATCTCCCTATATTTCTCTGCAGTAGCTATGTGCAGCGGTATGGAGGACAAATATTTCATGGTATTTTCCTGGGTTGCTTAGGATAAAGAAAAATGCATGCATACCTGGTGGTCAATTTCCCCAGGAGCATGGCTAACTCTATGATCTAGTATTTATAGAGTTCTAAATGGTAGATGAGATGCTCTATCTGCACCATTAAGCCTTATTCCTATGCCAACTATTCTCAACTTGATAACAAATATGTAACTACTTGATAAGATTGCCATCTGTGGCCAATTCAATAATAAATCAGATGAAAACATTTAACATTGACTTTATGCAGTCGAAAGCAAAATGAGGATTTTTTCTGACATTTAAAGCTATAGAATGTCAGAGGTAGAAGGGACCCCAGCAGTCACCTAGTCCAGTTTCACATGCAATTGCACACGTGTCCATGTATCACAGCACCTCCAACCAATGATATCCTTAATTATCTGAGTGAAATGCAACTTGCTGTCTCAAGTAAGAATTCATTCTAATTTAACACATATTTTTTACCCATTATATGAAGCCTCAAACTTCAAACTTCCTTCTTACAACTTCTTTCCACTACTCATAACTATGTCTTATGGACAATTGTTTTCTATATGAATAATGCTCCCAGCTATTTTGTTTCCATATAGACTATTATTTATTCTCTATCAATAAAATATTTTCCAAATGAAATTCATCCTTTTTCCTGCAACCTGTGTACTACCTAAAGCATGGATTTGAGTCCGCTCAAGTTCCTGGAACCATGAAAGCTAAGATCTTGTATTTGCATGCCTCAATATGTTTTTGTCTTTCGTTTCACAAAACAATTTTGACTTATTGTTAAGAAAAAAAATCCAAAGTAATATTTTCTCTGATGACAAGTATCATAAATTGGCAATCCAATGAAACTTCTTCATTACATAAATATTATCATAAATTAATGCTCTACATCGTTTATGGAAAAATAGTTAATTACTGTTTGCATTTATTTTTATAGTGTCTATATCAAGAAAATAATGTCCCCCAAATAAATAAAGAGTCAAGAAAAATAATGGGAATTTTGTTTTTCTCATTATTTTCATTAGGGCAGTTTTAAAATTGCCCTTGAATATGTTAGTTATTTCTCTGATATTTTAAATAGTTGAAGCCTAAAGTGCACAGATGATATTTGAACATAATGAGGTTTTTCTTTCTGGAATGTAGTCCTTGTTATAAAAATATGAATGATAGTAGCAATGAGTAGGATATGTTAATAATTATTTATAATGGTTCATTCTAAGTTTAATAATTAACATAAAATGGCAAAAAGAAACATTTGATCATGTGTAATATGTATATTGTAAAATGACATTGCACAATCAGTCTAGAGGAAGTTAATGAGTGCCCATTTGAAATCCCTACTCATTTATGTTTATGCTTATTAGTATATAATAATTAATAAAATAGTTGGTGATAAGAAAATGGAATATGTAAATAGTTCTCCATATGTAAGCCCCAGTGATGATATTTTCTTTGGAAAAATGATTCTTATATGTCACATTTTTAAGAGGCCAAGTTTAGTATATCCATTTCAGACACCAGAATTAACTTTTATGGAGTAGATTCAGGACTCTTATTTTCTATTAAAAGAAATAAACACGTTTCTCCTCTTTGTGTTTAGGAGAATACTAACAATAATGTATCATGGGTTTAAAGAGAGAAATCCTTTCTGCTACTACTCTCTAGGTTTTATTAATTTGGTATCTGTTTTGCTATAATTCCTGCTTGTAGAAGATAAAACTAATGTTCATTTTCAATGCAAATATTTAAAAGAAAAGACATAGGAAGTTTTATGACACAGGATAGGACAGCTGTCACTATCAACAACCCCCAAATCTTGCTGAGTTCATATAATAGGATACTAGTTCTGACTAAAGAGACAGTGTAACGCAGGTTTGCTGTAGAGAGGGAAGCCATCCCCTCTGGCTTTGAAGTATTCGATTTTATGCTCTGTGGATGACCACACAGCCAATTTTGGAGGTCGGGACAGGAAATGGCAAGCACATCTTTCTCCCACATTCCACTGAACACAGCTCACTTAATCTAGGAAAGCACCAAAATGGCGCCCCGCATTCTCAAGAAGAAAAGAAAACGAGATTTGGTGACCAACTTTGTTGTCTGCCACAGACTGATTTAGGGTAATTACTTCCCTCACTTATTTTTTGCTGTAATTTCATGATCTAACTCTCTATTCCACACAATATCTCTGGCAATGAACTTTATTACCACTATGGCTTATCCTGGTGTCCTAACACTCATTCAGGTTACAAGGAGAACAGGGAATAAAGAGGACCATTCAGGATGATGTGGGACCACCTCGAAGCATCAGTGTGCTCTGAGGGTCTTCAGGAAAATACCTTTCTCGCTTCACATCTCTCTCCTGCTGCTCACTCACATGACTACTGGAAGCACATTCCCCACCACCACACAAGCCCACATACCCGCACACAACCCTCACCCAATGCTGGAGAGAAAGCACTCCAGGAGGAGAATTCTGTCATACTCCTTCACACCATTTCACTCTTGAAACTCTTCCCACCGATATCTTTCACTCCGGCTACTAATTTTTCTCTTTACATTTTGTTTTTAACTTTTAAGTTCAGGTGTGCAAGAGCAGGTTTGTTACAAAGGTAAATGTATGTCATGTGGGTTTGTTGTAGAGATTATTTCATCACCCAGGTAATAAACCTAGTACCCATTAGTTATTTTTCCTGAATCTCTCCCTCCTCCTACCCTCCACCCTCTGAAAGGTCCCAGTGTGTGTTGTTCCCTTCTAAGTTTCCTTGTGTTCTCATCATTTAGCTCCCACTTATGAGTGAGTACATGCAGTATGTGTTTTTTTTTTGTTCCTGTGTGAGTTTATTAAGGATAATGACCTCCAGCTCCAACCATGTCCCTGCAAAGACATGATCTTGTTCTTTTTCATGGTTGCGTAGTATTCCATGGTATATATGTACCACATTTTCTTGATTCCTACAATCTATTCTTCCTACAACAGCAACAGTAATTGTTTGAAATTATACATAAGACTTCATCACTATTTTGTTCAAAATTCTTAGGATTCTTCCCAATACTTTTAGGATAGGGCTCAATTGCTTTATCATTGACTGCAAGGCCCTGTGTCCTCTGAACCTGCATACCTATCCAAGTTTATCTCCAACACTATCCCACTGTATTACCCTACTCTGTCTACAAAGTCTTTTCTGTTCTTTGAACAAACAAAATTTATTCTTACCTGAGGGTCTTGCATCCACACTCAGACCTTACTTGGTTTTAGTTTTCAGAAAGGCCACCAAGGACCATCCTATTTAAAACAGTCCCCATGGTTAGATCCCACCTCCGTCACCTTTTCCTAGTGAGTTTTCACCACAGAACTTATGATTACCTGACTGCAGAATAGATTCACGTGTTTGCTTGTTAATGGCCTGCAACGTCCACTCACATGTTATTCCCATGAGTGCAACAGGCTTACTTTCCTGTCCCATTTATGGAACCCAAAATAGTGCCTGGTATCTAATAGTCACTCAATAAGTATGTTTTGAATAAATGAGTAGATGAATACATAAATAATGAAAAGGAACCATGATTGGTTGTAGAAGGATAGGTAGGATTTTGCCAAGTGAGAACTAATTATTGTACATTCAAAGCCAAAGGAGCAGCAAATGCATATTAATTAGAAAACAAGTCTTAGGACAATTTAGCTATTAGATTGGTGCAAAAGTAATTGGGGCTTTTCCCATTGACAATAATGGCAAAACTGTAATTACTTTTGCACCAACCTAAATGGAACAGTATTTCTCATATTTTTAAGTAACTTTCTAAGTTTATGAAATAGAAAAAAATGTAAACTTTTCATAAGAATATGTTGCTGTTTTATTTCTTGAACTAAGCCCAGCAATCTTTGAATATTCATTTTCTAGGAGAGCCTTAAGTTTATACTTGCAAAATATTCTAATCAATAAGTAATTCATAGTCACTATGTGTTTAATTTTAGCACTAACCTTAATAATCTCTAAATGTATGGAAGATGAAGGCATACCATCTTCTTAAATTTTATGTAATATTTTACCATTATAAAATATTGTCATTTATAATAGCACACAACTTATCCTAAACAAATTTAAAAGCTTTATATGTTACAACACAAATTAGGCATCAGCTGAACTTTACACTAAATATTATTCTATATGATTGACAATATTAAAATTTTCTCGACCAAACATGCTGTTGAATTATTGTCATCTTTTTTATGTATGTATTAAAATGTACTTGTCATGTTTCCAAAATTCAGGAATGTTAAACTGTAATAATATTAATTACCAAGTTAAAGATTGGGGAAGTTTTCCTTCATTGTGCAATCTTAAAATAATTATAGACAAAGTCACTTTACTGTCACCGTCTTCATATGATTGAGATATCCTCACCACTGTAGCTTTTGGGTGGTATATAATATGTAATTAACTCCTAAATATTACAAATCGTAGTTTTCCTCTATCAGTTGTATAATACTACATTTTGTTAGTTCTGGAAATTAAAAGAAATTCCTTGATTCTATATTGTTGCCTGTATAGAAGTTGATTTTTCATATTTCCTTTAAAAATGAAATAAATGCTTCCTTCAATTTTTCTTTAATTACTGTATGGCCAAGCCCATTGAATGATATGAATCCAGATATCTGTATGCTTGCCTGTAATTTCCACAATGTGATCTTTAATGGCAGGGAATTCATCTGTCAGAGTGAGGTGTGCCTCTATCCTTTGTGTTGACTTTAGTGTGAGCTTACCCACTATAGTTTGTTGCTGCTGCAATTCCTTTCAATACATTCTGAATTGGTAGTGAATTTCAGATCATCAATATAAAGTCTCATGTGGCCAATGCTGCTGTTTATTTTATTTCAAGACATTATCCATGCTGAAATTGGCAACTTTTCAAGGCTACAGTCAAGGACAATGCTCTTTAGTTTCCAAACCACCAGTCTCTGCATTTCACTGGCTGTGTGGCACATCTCATTACATACTAAGTTCTGTTGAGCTATTACTACTTACACTATTTTAGAGCTTGTTTGATGGACTCATTTTGCCCTTTAAGACCTGTAGGATGAATGAGGGAGTCTTAAGATCATGAGTGGGCTGGGCATGGTAGCTCACACCTGTAATCCCAGCACTTTGGGAGGCCAAGGCAGGCTGATCACTTGAGGTTAGGAGTTTGAGATCAGCCTGGCCAACATGGTGCAACCCCATCTCTACTAAAAATACAAAAAAAAAAATTAGCTGGACAAGGTGGCACATGCCTGTAATCCCAGCTACTCAGGAGGCTGAGTCAGGAGAATCTCTTGAACCCGGGAAGCGGAGGTTGCAGTGAACCGAGATAGTGCCATTGCACTCCAGCCTGGGTGACAGAGCGAGACTCTATCAAAAAAAAAAAATCATGAATGAGGGACATTTTTCACTTGAGAGATGTCTTCTATTTTGTAGTAAAAACACACTTTTTAGTATTTACCTTTGGGTCTTATATCTCCTCATCAGCCTCTGTGGCCTTGTGGATAAAACTATTTACCATCCTCCAGCATTCTTCGTGAATCTCTCCAGATTTATTTCTGGTCCATTGCCCTCAAGGGAGAACCACGTTCTCCCTTCACTCATCAGCCTCTGTTGATCAGACCTCCTGGGAGCACCACCCTGCTTCTCTGGCAGTGCACCTGCTCTTTGTAAAACTAGCATACAAATCACTTTGTGTATGGAGGATGCATGAGCTAAACTTTTTATCTTAGGTTACCTGATAACACAGACAGTAACTGAGACAGAAGGAGAGGAAATGGCATTGCTGGAAGAGGAGGAAATTGATACAGTGCTTAGTCAGAACTGACTGAAATTCAAAAGAGAAAGTGAGAGAGTGGTAATTGCTAAGAGGAAGGAGGTGCATACATTCTCATTCAACTTGCCAATCTAAAAGTCTCCAAAAGAAATGAATGGCAGACCAAATGATATGAAACAGACCTAATGTGGCTCATTATGATGTCTTGTCCACATTGGCTAATTACAATATAATCTGTGTTAAACTAAAAGAAAAGAATGCTGAATTTGTATTTTCAATACTCAGGAACTTTACCCCAACAGAACATGTGAAATAACACCCCCACATCGGCAAAAATATTTTGGCTGAAAAGCAGTTAATTGTCTTTAAATATGCATAGTGTCTTTATTCTGGCTCCTATATTAGAACCTAAGGCAAAGATCAAAGTGTAGATGTTGTTTGGAAAGTCCAAGCCCCGGTTAGTAAAGGTGAGGAGAAAAGGAGAAGTGAAGGAATTAAAGATCAAGATCATTGTTTTGCAATTCACTACCGTGATGGCAACTTCTTTACCATAAGCCATAAAGAGACCCAAGCGATCACTCAGACGCAAGTAGACTTGTCAAGCAGGGCTTTTCTGGAAGGCTTACAAGGAGGAACCACACCACAGAGCATCTCATGAAAGGGTACAGGGGGAGAATTTACTGACCCAATGCCTTCCAGGCATCTGTTTCCTGTTGATGAAATCCTCCCTATGGAGAGCAAACTGGTTCATATCTTCAGATAGTGTCATTCAACCCCTTGGCAGCTTTCTGGGCTACTAAATATCACACCGTCTGGTGGGACATTTCACCCAAGTCTGGAAATGAAAAAGAAAAATCAACATGGAAACACTGTTGACCATGAAAGAGTAGAGGCAGCCAAGGGAAAATGAGAAGGTCCACAATGTTTATATCCCACTCAATGCCCATTCATACTACTCATGTCCACTTATGGCCTCCCACTGTGTCAGGTCACTGGGTAAGTAGCGCAAGGTGGGCCCACAGACCTGTAAAATGACCTCAACCAGAATTGTATTTATCACTTGATCTTTACCCCCATTCTAGCTGGTGAACCATAGTAGCCTTTCAAATCTCCAAATATCAAGTCATCTAGAACCCCATACTTAACATCCTTTTGAAAATCTGCATATTTTTTCATTCTCCAGTAAAAAGTTGCCTTGGCAAGAGCAACATGATTCTTTAGAGGAACAATTGGGATATTTATTGCATATACTTGGTAGGAAATTGCAAGGTCACTGCTCTAGGTAACCCAGCTTCCATGTCCATCAATGTGTCGTGGGTATCTGGCACAGCTTATCTATGGAAACTGGGTAAGCAGTCATGAAGATGTCCATTCCAATAGCTGCCATTAGCCCTCTGCTAAACTGCTGTTGATTCTTTTTTTATAAAATAATTCATGCACCCTAGTCAGTTGTCCATCTAGCTCACCACCATGGGAATACCACAGTCTGTTAACTGTGACCATATTTCGTTGTGGGTTAAAACCTTGTTTGGCACTCTGGTTCTACTGTCCATTGTGGTGAGTATATCTGTCTTGGTGCTGATGATTAAATGCTCACATTTGCAGCCATTCTGGAATCTCACCTTCCCTAGAAATAATAGGGAAGCCTGGTCAAAGGAGGCATTTGATACTAAAGACCTCGCCCTAGAGAGGACTGTCACTACCATGACAGTCATGGTAAAGACTAGTAAATACTCTTGTACCCACCCCCACTCCAGTAGTACATTACTTTTTTCTTTTTTTTTTTTTTTTGAAACGGAGTCTCGCTCTGTCACCAGGCTGGAATGCAGTGGCGCGATCTTGGCTCACTGCAACCTCAGCTTCCCGGGTTCAAGCAATTCTCCTGCCTCAGTCTCCCAAATAGCTGGGACTACAGGCGAGCGCCACCACGCCCAGCTAATTTTTGTACTTTTAGTAGAGGGGTTTCACCAAGTTGGCCAGAATGGTCTCGATCTCTTGACCTCATGATCCGCCCACCTCAGCCTCCCAACATGCTGGGATTACAGGCGTAAGCCAATGCGCCCGGCCCCAGTAGTACATTACTTATTCTTCAAGTGAAGAGATGATTCTTCATCCACTCCTGGGAAGTTAGACATTTGTGGATTCTTGAACTATATACAAAAAGCCATGATACCAGTCTCCTCTGCCAGAACTCTCTGATTGCCTATTTAACATTTTGCCAAGGAATTTTTTTGCATTTCCACTTTGGGAGCTTTTGGCCATCACAGAGTCTAGGTTCCTAGGAGCAAACTCAGCAAATTAAGAGGACCAATTCCTGTCATCCTTTCCAAAATATTAAATTCTGACTCATGAGATTCTGGATATATTCCATCTCCCTTTCCAATCTTACAGTCAAGACTCAGACTCACACCTCCTTTCCAGTGTCTCATCACTCTTTGTCAGGTGCTGCCATTACCTTTCAGATATAGGCTATTTCTTCGTGGAGCTTTGACTACCCTTCCAAGGCTGAGCTGAGATATGACTTTGGTTACGCCCTGTAGACAACATGGGGAGATGGGAGCATAGCCTAAGGGACTAAATGTCTTATTGTAAGACATCTACCTCCTTAAGGTCTCATTCCTTCCCCTCCCGGAGTGGGGAAGGGGGCGCTGAATTATGTCCTATGACAACAGCCAGGGGCTAAAGTTTGAAAATTTTCTATTTTCCAGTTTATCCACCCGTTGCCCCATCCCAGATCTCAGTGTCCCAATCTTCGACCCTGAAAGTCCTAACTTTGTCATCAAAAAACTTCCAAGGCTGCTAATCTACTGTCCTCTAGCTTTCTGGTCAGGTAATAATTTGGATAGCAACTTCTCTGGCTCTTTTACTCTCATATTTATAAGGACTCTACTCTTGTCATAAATAATTCCTCACCATCACAATCCATTTAAATAATTATTATGATGTCACTTAATGCAGATTTTTATTGTTGTTGTTTTCCAAGAGCTAATTAATCCAACTCCAAAGCCCCATCCTGAGGCAGAAATTGTGTTGACCTGGGGCCTCTAGCAAATGGAGCTTGAGAAAAAGATTAAATTTACTGGAAAGTTCAAGCACCAGGCTCTGGGAGTGAGGAGGAACAAAATGTAAAGGAGTCAGGAAAGAGGCAGGCAAGCGAATTGGAGAAGGTGCACAAATATTGTAACCCCAATGCTTTTCAAAATGAATAATGAAATATTGAAATATTTTGTCACTGGTAATACAGTTTCTGTGGTTATCTTCTCATAATCTGAATCAATGTATTTATATTTTGGGTGTATCATTTTCATTGCACTATTTATACAGTATGAACAAAGTACCTATTTACACATGAGAGCAGTAGATAGCAAATATTTAGGAATAAAACATCTAGCATGTGAGACAATTATCTCTTCCAGGTCATCCAAATTAGCAGCAGCAGTAGTTTATAGAAGTACAAGAATAAAGGCATTTAAACATGTCAAATGATATAGGCTGGATACATCTATGTTAATAATTAACTCACATAATACATCTAAATTATGAAATCAATAAGACAGGTAATTTTTAGCTGCTCTTGTTATCTTGAATACTCATCTCAAACGTCCTTTCTTTTTAAACTTGCCCCGGGTAGAGCTGGTCACTTCCATCTATATTCATTTACTAGACTCCACATCATTTTTTATATCTCACATATCTCTTTCTAACCTGACGATTGGGGATGGCATTTTTCACCTGCTCTTCTGCCTAAAACAGCAACTCATACATGCAATGTTTTGATGAACTGATGAATGAAAAAAATGGCATTTCTATTTTCAAGTGTTTCAAGCTTTTCAGTACTTCTCTTTATGCCTTTTTCAATAATAATGCCTTCAGGTATTCCTGCAGACATTCTGGGTCCTTATTCTCTATTCTGTCAAAATATTCCCTTGATAAAAGAGCTGAAACTTAGTTTACTAAAACATAAATGAGTTAAAACAGTTTAAAAATAACACATACATAAGAAATGTGGATTTCTCAAATTGAAATCTCTTACCATATCAGACACTTTGAAAAATGCAAATAATCATTTACTATAAAAAAGGAAAAAAAATTAGTTTTGAAAGTATAGGTATGTGTGGTTTGCATCTGAGTGTGTGTGTGTGCGCGCGTGCACGCACATGCATGTGTATATGGATGATATTAGCTTTTCTCTAAACTACAGAATTAGAATGTTTCATGAAATTAATGGAAAGAGTATCCTAGAAAGAATAAAAGGAGGGCTGGATAAATTAAAGATTTTATCTTCAACCAAACTGGAGTAATTGCCTAAATTAACTTGTCTTAAAAAGACACGTGCTGAGACATTGCAAAATAAAGAAAAGATAAAAGGAAATTAGAGAATGTAATATGGCATATAAACAGCAATATTTAGAAATAACAGGAAGACAGAGAATCCCACTGTGAAGGGGAGACAAGGTTTGCATGCATGTAAGTGACTAAATACACCATTTCATTATGGGAAAAGGAGGCTTGGCATCTTTCAACAGATATATAAATAAAAATCTTGCCTTCAGTTTTTCCCCCAGATCCTATATAGACAAAGAAACATATGTAAATTAAAGGTAAAAATATATGAATATAAGAAGTGTTCACTCTTACTGCCTTTGCCTAATCAAATTGCCAAAAGATTAAAAATGGCTTGTACGAAACTGATTTATTAGTAAACAGTTTAAAGTTCTTGCAGGTTTCAAGCACTGCCTGATGGTTTTGGCACTCTTTAAAAAAAATAAAATAGTTTTGATTACAGAATTGTCATTACAATTCTCCAGATTTAGTTCAGAAAGGAAAGCAATATTTGGGTGAAATTGAAGTGGTGTTTATGAATCACATATGATAGATTAGGCAATTGAGTTATATTTTTATATCTGCTTATCTCTCTAAAGAATCTAACAAAGCGGAATGAACATGGGGAAGGGAGTAAATAGAATTATGTTTCCTAATGCTATCTCTTTAAAGAGATACCACATTTGCCTTCAATTTGGATTAGTCCATGATCCTAACATCACATCTAATGTCTGCCCCCCTGAGCACAGCAAGGAAGAATAAGTAAAATATTCACTACCGTGTTATTGCATTACTACATGTTCTTTCTGATGGGTAAATTCAATGTATCTCTTTGTATTATAATGATTATTGGCTGCAAGTAAATGAAAGTGTCTAGGTTTCAAAGAAATACTAAATTTCACACACCTCAAAATTCAAAGAACCAAAGCCACTTTGGTCATCATTTCAAGTAAAAATAGTTGTAATGAATTTAAAGGATGAATGGAGAAAAATGATAACCAAGATTTATGTTGCTCTATAGAATCAATTGAACATCTTGTCCTTATCTGGTAAGTGGCCAGCCTAATGATCATACTTCTTCCCTGCCCTTTTTCTGATGCTTCTTATCCAGGGACATGTTCCTTCCTGGAAGTTTTCCCAAGAATCCTATCATCCCTGTATGTTTCCCCTGTGCAGGTATTACAATGGCAGCTTCAGAAGACAATGACCCAGCTTTGCAGCCTAATGCTTTTGTGACTTGAATAATGAGAATTTCAGTTAAAGGTGGTATCATGGCATTATGGTAAGAAAGCTAACATGGCACTTTTGTTTAGGGCTGGCCTCCCCAAAGAACACATATGAATTGAGTTATTGTTATGACGATATGAAATATCCCAGCTTTCTAGTAGAACATAATTAAATGTAGCTTCTAGAGTTCATACAGTCATCGTCTGCCAGGTTGTTATGATGAATAATGGATTACAAAGTCATATGGGGAGAGTAGAAATTTGAATGGATCACAACAAAAAATGTGCAGTCAAAGACATCACACCCATTATTGCTACTCTGGAGGCAGCAGCATTAGTGTTGGTTAGGGCAGGACTTCGGTGGTCACATAAGAACTCTGAAAACACTCCCAATGCTGTTGTTTAGGATATACCACAAGGCAACGTCCTCACAGCTTTTCAATTTTCTAAACTTCTCTATTTGCATCCTACCTGTTAATGACTTGTTGCCAACCATAATGGAGTCTCCAACCTATTTCATATTGAATTTTGAATAATTTGTTTAAATTCATCTTGACCTGCTTTTGCCTTCACTTGATAGCTGAGCAGTAGCAAGGATGTTATCTTTTTCTCCTTGAAAGGAAAGAGATACATTCCAGTAGTTTACACAACTCTGGCTTAGAATATTGTTACGGGTTTTGATTGAAAGGAGGGTTGAATTTTTTGTTGTTGTTGTTGCAATAGAGTCTCTATCTATTTCCCAGGCTGGAATGCAGTGGTGTGATCTCAGCTCACTGCAACCTTTGCTTTCCAGGTTCAAGTGATTTTTGTGCCTCAGCCTCCCGAGTAGCTGGGATTACAGGCGCATGCCATCACGCCTGGCTAATCTGTGTATTTTTAGTAGAGATGGGGTTTCGCCATGTTGCCCAGGCTGGTCTCAAACTTCTGGCCTCAAGTAATCCACCTGCCTCGGCCTCCCAAACTGCCGGGATAACAGGCATAAGCCACTGCACCCAGCCAGAATATTTTTAAAATAGATACAGATTCAAGTAGTACATAACCTTTCTCTTTCAGTGGGAATGGAACATAGTCTTGTCTAGTCTCTTGTATATTGATTAAATTTTATACTATTAACTAACTTTGAGAACGATTATAAATGCAATCAAAGTGTTACAGTACCTAGAGTGTGAAAAGAGTAACGCATGCAGCGGCAAGTCATCATGGAGTGTATTAGTTCGTTCTCATGCTGCTTTAAAGACATAACCGAGACTAGGTAATTCATAAAGAAAGAGGTTTAATTGACCCACAGATCCCCATGGCTGGGGAGGCCTCAGCAAATTTACGATCATGGTGGAAGGGGAAGCAGGCACATCTTACATGGCGGCAGGTGAGAGAGAGTGAGCAAGAGCAGGGAAAACTGCCTTATAAAACCATCAGATCTCATGAAAATTCATTCCCTATCACCAGAACAGCATGGGGGAAACTGCCCCCATCATCCAATCACTTCCCTCCCTTAACACGAGAGAATTACAGGTCCCTCCCGTGACACAGGGGGATTACAATTTAAGCTGAGATTGGAGTGGGGACACAGAGTCAAACCACATCATAGAAGATGCAAGCAGTACATTTAGATGTTAAATGATCATTAGGATCTAGATAGGTAGAGATGTGGATGGATAGAGAAAAGAATGTGACCTTAGAGATGGGGATGAGCATGTTCTTTTCTAGGCATGATTATAGTTCAATAATAGATGACATTATTTTCTTTTGCATTGTAATGGAAAGTCAAAAAGTTTCCAAGAGGCTAGATCTTAGAATTCTCTCCTGGTCTGCTGAGGACAGTAACCGCTGTGAAAGAGAGAAGAATCATCCTGATGATTCTCTACTTTATTAGGAAAAAGAGGCTTGAACCTTTGAATGTGTATATGCTTATTTTGCAATGTGATGATAACAATTGAAATAACTAAAATGCATTATTTACTAAATGCTTTATATGAATCTTTACCTCTAACATCTGGAGTAAGGACTGTTCTAAACTTCATTTAAGGATGAGTAAAAAAACAAGCAAAGCAAAAAAAAGGAGTAGTAATTTTTTCATGCAACACAATGCCAAGTATCAGGCCTGATGCAAAGACCATCTCTACTAACTATTAAACATTCTACCTCAAATGTGAAAGATGACGTTTTTGTAGGACAAAATTCTGTACACTGAATCCAATTTCCCATTAACTTACACTATACCTTAGATCATATTGAGAGGTGACAGCGTGCTGGCAGTCCTCACAGCTCTCGCTCGCTCTCAACGCCTCCTCTGCCTGGGCTCCCACTTTGGTGGCACTTGAGGAGCCCTTCAGCCCGCTGCTGCACTGTGGGAGCCCCTTTCTGGGCTGGCCAAGGCCAGAGCCGGCTCCCTCAGCTTGCAGGGAGGTGTGGAGGGAGTGGCGCGAGCGGGAACCCGGGCTGGGCGCGGAGCTTGCCGGCCAGCTGGAGTTCCGGGTGGGCGTGGACTTGGCGGGCGCCGCACCCTGAGCAGACGGTCGGCCCTGCCGGCCCCGGGCAATGAGGGGTTTAGCACCCAGCCCAGCAGCTGCGGAGGGTGTACTGGGTCCCCCAGCAGTGCCGGCCCACCGGCGCTGCGCTCGATTTCTCGCCGGGCCTTAGCTGCCTTCCCGCAGGGCAGGGGTTGGGACCTGCAGTCCGCCATGCTTGAGCCCCCGCCCACCCCGTGGGCTCCTGTGCGGCCCGAGCCTCCCCGACGAGCACCGCCCCCTGCTCCACGGCGCCCAATCCCATCGACCACCCAAGGGCTGAGGAGTGCGTGCGTCACGGCGCGGGACTGGCAGGCAGCTCCACCTGCAGCCCTGGTGCGGGATCCACTGGGTGAAGCCAGCTGGGCTCCTGAGTCTGGTGGGGACGTGGAGAACCTTTATGTCTAGCTAAGGGATTGTAAATACACCAATCAACACCCTGTTTCTAGCTCAGGGTTTGTGAATGCACCAATCTACACTCTGTATCTAGCTACTCTGGTAGGGCCTTGGAGAACCTTTGTGTGGACACTGTATCTAGCTAATCTGGTGGGGACGTGGAGAACCTTTGTGTCTAGCTCAGGGATTGTAAACGCACCAATCAGCGCCCTGTCAAAACAGACCACTTGGCTCTACCAATCAGCAGGATGTGGATGGGGCCAGATAAGAGAATAAAAGCAGGCTGCCAGAGCCAGCAGTGGCAACCCGCTGGGGTCCCCTTCCACGCTGTGGAAGCTTTGTTCTTTCGCTCTTTGCAATAAATCTTGCTGCTGCTCACTCTTTGGGTCCACACTGCCTTTATGAGCTGTAACACTCACCGGGAAGGTCTGCAGCTTCACTCCTGAAGCCAGCGAGACCACGAACCCACCGGGAGGAACGAACAACTCCAGACGCGCCTCCTTAAGAGCTGCAACACTCACCGTGAAGGTCTGCAGCTTCACTCCTGAGCCAGCGAGACCACGAACCCACCAGAAGGAAGAAACTCCGAACACATCCGAACATCAGAAGGAAGAAACTCCCGACACACCGCCGCCTTTAAGAACTGTAACACTCACCGCGAGGGTCCGCGGCTTCATTCTTCAAGTCAGTGAGACCGAGAACCCACCAATTCCGGACACAATATAGTCCAAGGATGTCAAAAATACGTGATTGCAGTAGAAGTCTGGTAGGAAAAGCAATTAATGAAGGCCAAGAGCAATGGAAGAAGATTTCTTCACAAGTGTCTCATTGGAAAATTGCTGATTCAAATAACAGCAATCACGAGTCCAGAATAGTGACTTTCTGACTCAGTCTCCGTGTATGTTTACACCCGTGCTTGCCATTTGTGTCTGGACATTTTTATCACCTGTCCTCCCTAAAGAGGAAAGACATACAATAAAACAATGCCAGGCAGGGCACGGCAGCTCACCCCTGTGATCCCAGCACTTTGGGAGGCCGAGGCAGGCAGATCACCTGAGGTCAGGAGTTCAAGACCTGCCTGGCCAACATGGCGAAACCCCATCTCTACTAAAAATACAAAAAAAGTAGCTGGGCGTGGTGGCGTGTGCCTGTAATCCCAGCTACTGAGGAGGTTGAGGCAGGAGAATCGCATGAACCCGGGAGGCGGAAGTTGCAGTGAGCCGAGATTGTGTCACTGAACTCCAGCCTGGGCGACAGACTGCTCAAAACAAAGAAAGAAAGAAAAACAATGCCAGAGCCCCATACCCAGAGACACTGACTTTTTTTTTGCATGGGATGTGGTCTGGTTATTCGTGCTTTTTAACCTCTCCAAGAGACACAGATGGGCAGTCAGTATTGGAAACCAATGGTATATATTTTTACCCATTAGCATAAAGGGAAGGCAATGTTTTTGCTGTACTGGATTTTCTAAGGAGGAGGAGAGATGGGAAATGAGGAAAAAAGTCATTTCTTTTTTCTGACCTTTAGTTTCTTCCCAAGCCCTGTTTCTGTATAAATTGTACCCAAATACTTTCTCCCAAGACCACTGTAGCTTAGACAGAACAACAGGCTTAGTTTAGGGCAGGACCAAGATAATTTGGCAAAAATCAAAATTTGCTATCAGAGAATAATTAGAAATTCATGCAAGATTCCTCTCTATCTATATGTCACATTATGCTAAAATATTTTTGGTGAATATTTTTAAATATACATATGTGTATGTGCTTTTACATATGCAAAAACGTCTGATTGAGTAGGTTAATAAAAGGTTATATATTTTATCCCTTATTGGAAATTTACAATGAGCAATAACTCAAATTTTAGTTATCTGAAGTTAAAAGAAAGTATTTAGTGTTAAATTTCCCAAAGTAATTTGACAGTGAAACTTTTTTCACAGGAGAGTTAACTTACATTCTGGTGAACCAATATGCTACAGGAAAGATTAGCCTGAACACATAAATTATGCAGAAAAACATTCAGGTACAAACACTATAATTAATAATAAAAATGTTGCATTTCATTTTAAACTTTTAAGTGAGAAACTAATAATAACTAGTTCTGAGATCAGGAAATAAATTATAGATACTTGCAGGACTTATTTTGGTATACTATGAAAATCAATAATAGCAGTAGGAATGACACTCAACTGTAAATTCAGTGGAATTGTCTTTTGTTATAAGAGACTGAAAAGCTGGGTTTCTGTCTCAGATAAAAGATTATAGACTTGTGCAGTTTTTTTTAAAGACCTTTGCTGTTGTACTCACTGATTATCTGTTATTATTAGTGTAGCCACTGGACCAAAAAATGTATTTAAAATCTTTTTCCATTCAGCTTAAATGAATGCTTTCTGTTACTAACATTTTAGTTCATAATACAGCATACTTTTGCTTTGAGTTTTAATAGGTCTGGAATCAAAAGCATTGAATAGCATACTGCTAAAAACCTTCAGTTAAAGAAATTAGTAACGTTAGAACCACTGAGATTGAATATTGAAATTCAATCAGAGACATATGATACCAATTCTCAGCTTAAATTTTGTTTAATAAATCCCCAGAACTGTTGAATTCATTCACATATCCCTTCCAAGTTTTAGCAAGCTCTTCCTAAATACAGTTCTAAATTACTTTTCTGGTGTCATTTGAGACATATTCATTTCCTTCTCAGAAAGCTAACTTTGTATCTCTGAAAACACTGTGGACCTTTTTCCTGGCTCTTATTAACTTCTGGCTTATTCTGTAACTATTAGAAAAAAAACAAAACTCCTTGAGGACAGGCTCTAACTTTTGATTCTCTGCTGTGTCCAGCACATGGACTTTCAAAATAACTGTGCACAGTATATTTTTAAAAAATTAATTGAAATGAAGGCATTGCAACCCAAGTATGTAGACATTTTTTCTAACTGTGGATAATGAGTATATCACCAAAAAAACCTGTATTTGTGTTTTGACTTGTAATTTTATCTGTCCCCAAAATATGGTCATCAGCTTGGGTATATTTGCACCTGCCTAAGAAGGGCATGCCTTCACCTGAGATTCCACAAGGAATGCAGATCATGGCCTTACCGCAAATGAGTGTTAATTTTTCATCAAAAGACAGAATACTTTTTTAAAGATTATATGTGTCTAATTTTTTTTTCTTTCAGCAAAATCTTAAACATACAAAAACAGATACTGTGTTTCATTGTCTAAAGGAAGAGACAGCTCTGTGTGCCATGCTGCACAGCAGAACTGGTTTAAAATGTTTATCTTAAAAGACATCTGATCACTTATTAGTTACATAGTAAAGCTATAGTGACATTACTGATGAATAGCATATATTTCTCTTCAAAGTTAATATAAAGCATATCAAAATTAATTAAAAATGTAAGTAATATTGAATATGATACTCTTCTGCTCCAGGTTATGACTTGAATTTATATTAGTTTGCATGTTAACTCTGTAAATGAATAAATAAGTCAAGAGGTTGAACCGCACTAGTTTACTTAATCTTCATATTCTGAAGAATATGCCAGGTATATGCCATTTCTTGATTATTTTTGAATTATCGACTCTTTAACATTTACTCAAATATTAACACGTTTGTTATTTCTGTCATAAAAATGCTTTATTTTATAATATTTATAAAATTACCGTACACTTATTTAAATATATCCATTTGTAATTCTAACATATTTTGCATTATGTTATCACATCTACAATAAGAAACAATTTTCATAATGCAAAAATAATAGTACCTCTTTCCAGAATCTAATAAAATATATAAAAGAATACTGATAGTTTGACTTTACGTACACTGGTATCATAAATGGATAAGCAAGATATTGTAAGTGGGGAAACCTTTGGTTATAACTTACAACTAAAAATTGTATTGTTCACACAGAGAAAATTTGGGTAATGAAATGGGGTACCATTAATAATTATTTGGGAAGAAGTAGCAGCAGGGTAGACTGGGACCTAACAGTAATTATAAACTCTAATTATTGTGGTGTTGTGACAGCATGATAAGAAGTAGATTAATTCTAATTGACCTATCAAATCCTCTATGTTCATGGTCATAGAAATACTCTGATTTCAATGTAATAATTAATAATGTATAAAAAGGAAATGGAATCTTTGGTTTAAGCCAGTGGTAGAATATATTTTAAAAACTAAAAGAAAATTATGTATTAATTTTCTACTGTACGATGAAAAATAAATACAATATTGTTAACAAATTTTCTTGATTTTTTTAAAGATTATGTAGAATTTTTAATCGAGAGTTAATTTTGTCTGCAGCATAACTCCTCCTCAAGGCAAAATACTTCTTATGATCAGATCAGAGTAAACATCCAGTGCACACAAAGTAATTTAAAATGCAAATAGTTTGTTATTAAATACCAGTTATGCATCAGTAGGAAGGACATTGTGGGAGTTGTTTGGAAGATGGAAAAAGTGATTTCTTTTATAAGATAGATCCTCTATTTACATAGTATTTTTCTTAGAGAAATTCAAATATTTTTGACCTAACATAAATCTATACATAGTATCCTTTTGGGTGAAAGTGTGTATTAATGTCTCTCATTTTATGATGTAAGAAAATGAGTCCTGGCTTTAGGTCACTGACTGAATCAACAAATACTTTAGTATAAAAGAGCAACCCTCAGGCTACTTTCCCCTGGATACCCTGTGTTTGTCAATTCTACTGAGATGTAAGTTTAAATTCCACCCACAAAGCAGATCCTTAGATAGGCTCTATCCTTGCTATTTTAATAGACATATAAATAGTTTTACAGTGAGACATTGGCCCTTTCATTGTATAACTCACCAAGAACAAACAAAGATGGGTCTTTGTGAGCTGGGCTTGTGACTACTCTGAGTGGGGACCCCACAGTTGTTTAAACTAGTATAGACAAGTAAGAGTCCCTTCTGGTCAGGGCAGAGTAACTTGCGTCTACTAAAACTTTTAGGACTACCCCACAGACAACAAGTATAACCTCTACACAGAGTATAAAAGTCAGTGTTGAAGACACTAGGGAGTGACCAAAGAGAGAAGGAATGATTGACCCTTAGAGGAAAGAGAATGTATTGTAGGAGATATTGGTTTATAGTGCTTTCCATCTTAGGGTACTGCCAGATCATAACTTGATGACTAGAGCTAAATCAGAAACTGGCATTCTTAAGGGTTTGTGGATTCAAAGAACAGAGTTCAGGACTGAAAAGTGCTTGGAAGTTAGTGTGATGGTGGGGGGTGGTGAGGAAGGGGTAATACATTGATGCTGTAGTTTGAATATATGACCCTTCAAATCTCATGTTGAAATTTGATCTTAATGTTGGAAGTGTGGCCTGGTGGGAGATATTGGGTCCTGGGAGAAGATCCCCCAGGAATGGCTTGGTGCTGTTCTCACTGTATTAGTTCCCACAGGAACTGCTTATTAAAAAGAGTCTGGCACCACCCCCTTCCTTCCCCTCTAACCATGGGATCTCTGTACACACTGACCCCCGCCCCCCCAACCCCGTTCCTCTTCCACCAAGAGTGGAAGCAGCCTGAAGCCCTCACCAAGGTGATAGTGATGTCAGGGTTCTGGTATAGCCTGTGGAGCCAAGAGCCAAATAACCCTGTTTTCTTTATAAATTGTCCAGCCTCAGGTATTCCTTTATAGCAACACAAATGGACTAAGACAATGGAAAAGAGAGAGACACAGAAAGAGAAACCCCAAATCTTCAAATAAACTAGAAACCTAATTGTGCACCCCTCAGGGGGAGCCCAAGGCCTGGCAGACACCAAAAGCTGGAGGTTTAACAGAACTGAGCAGAGCTTTTAGCTGCGGCCCAAAACAGGAAATAGATTTGGAGTTTGACTACAAATATGTTAACAGCCTGCTAGAAGAAAAAAAAAATCATCATTCTTAAAAGGAAGAAAACAGAATTCAGAGGAATCTTTATAACATATTAGCTAAAATCTTTAATGTGATACAATTTTCGAGGTATGCAAATGTGACACTAGTCAGGGAAGAAAATCTAGTCAATAAAAATAGACCCCAAGATGAGACAAATCTCATAATTAGCAGAAAAGTTCATTGTATCAAATAAAAATATTTTATTTTCGTAGAGACAAAGTCTTGCTATGTTGCCCAGGCTGGTCTCAAATTCCCAGGCTCAAGCAATCCTTCCCATTCAGCCTCTCAAAGTGCAGGGATTACAGGCATGAGCCACTGCACCCAGCTAAAACATATCATCATAATGATGGAACATATGAGAAATCTCAGCTGACAACTCAAAGGTATTAAAATGAGAAAGTCCTGGATGGAAAATTACAATATCTGAAATAAAAAACTTATAGAATAGACAACAGAAGAATGTAGTGAGTCAGTGGATTTTCAAAATACATACTATTCTAAAAACAGAGAGAGAAAAGATTTCAAAAATATAAAAAGAGCTTTGGTTAGCTATTGGACAATAGCTAATATTCGAAATCCCAGAAGAAGAGGAGAAATAGAATATGGCAGATGATATTTTTGACAAAATAATAATCAAAAGTCTCTCAAACATTAAGTTCCAAGGAGCACAGCTAACAGAACAAGATAAATGCAAACACAACTACACTTAGGCATATTCTAGTAGAAATACTGAAAATCAAAGATTAAGAAAATATTTTAAAAACACCAAGAGTAAAAGAAAACACATTACTTACAGGCAAATGCATGACAGAACTCACTGGATCAATATCTCAAAATGCTGGGAAGAAAAAAACGGTAACCAGAAATTCTACACAGAGTGAAACTACAAAACAAAAATCAAAGCAAAGCAACAATTTCTGGATATGCATAAAAGATGAAATTATATGTTGCTAGAAGATCCATAGCACAAGAAATGCTGATATCCCTCAGGCTGAGGGCTATTAAACAAGATGGAAATCCAGAATTATAGAAAGGAACAAAAAGAACAAAAATGAGAAGCATACAGGTCAATACAAAGACTGTATATTCTCCTTCTCTTAATTTTCTTAAAAGACATATGATTGTTTAAATAGAAACCATAGCACTGTATGGTAGGTTTATAACTTACTTAAGTATAACTTATATGATAACAATCACCCAAAGGAAGAGAGTAAAGGTCACTATTTAGGGGTAAGGAACTTACTTTTTTGGTAAAGCCATAGATTTTCATGTCTAAGTAGAAAGGTGTTAAGGAGTGGTATTGCAGGGATGGTAATAATGGAATCAACCTGTAAAAATTAGAGCACACTCATGTGATTTAAAAGCCAATACATTATTTAAATGAAATTTTTCTTTAAATTAATCTAGAAGATGGTAAGAATAAAGGAATAGAGGGAAAAAAAAGAGAAAAAAATAACAAATTGGTAGATTTAGAACAAATATGCCAATAATTAATAAGTATATCTGGACCAAAAACCACCATTAGAAGTTAGAGTGTTAGGTGAGATGTTAAAAAAGAACAAGAATCTGCTGTAATGTTTGTAGAAGAAATTCACTTTTAATATAAGTCACAGATAGATTGAATGGAAAAAATCTTCTTCAAATAGCAAACAAAAGAAAATGAAAGTGCTTCTATTAATATCAGAAAAAAATGTTGCTTTAAGATGAAGACTAAAATGGGAGATAAAAAGGAACATTTAATAAGAATGAAAGATATCGCTTGTTAGCATAACTATCTTAAACATGGAAGTAACTAGTAATAAAGCTACAAAATACACAAGGCAAAAATGGAGAGAATTAGAGTGATAGACAAATCCAAACTGATAATAAAGATTTTAACACCTTTATTTCAATAATTTGTAGAATGAGATAAAAAGTCAGTAAGAATACAGAATATCTAAGCCACATTGTTAACCACCTCAGCCTAACTGAAATTTATTAGACACTAAACGAAACAACTGCAGAATACACATTCTTTTCTGATGCCGATGAAATGTTCACGAATTTAGACCATATGGTTGGCTGTAAAACAAGTCACAATAAATTTCCAAAGATTGAATGCTTACAGATAATGTTATCTGACTACAATGGAATTAATAAAAAGGCAATGAGAAAGAGATATTTATAAAATTCTCAAACATTTGGAAGGTGAATAAAGTATTTCTAACTAATGCATAAGTCAAGGAAAAAAATAGAAGTGATATTAGAAAATGTTTTGAACTGAATTATAATAAAAATACAAGATACCAAAACATATGAAATGCAGCTTAAGTGGTATGTAGAAGAAAACTTGTATCTTTAAATGCTTATAATATAAAAGAAGGAAAGTTTCAACTTAATCATCTTGTTTCCACGTTAAGAAGCAAGGAAACATGACCGACCTGAAAGTAAGTGAAAGAAAATTAAAAAAAAAAAAACAGAGCAAGACTGAAATACAAAACAAACAGTAGACCAAAATAGTGAAGCAGAAATTGATGGATTGAAAAAATTAGAAAAATTTGTTAACCTCTTATCAGACTGATGAGTCAAATAACAGAGAAAACACAAATCTCCAGTCTTGGGAATAAAAGACAGAACATCGCCACAGAAATTAGACATTAAAAGATAAAAAGGCAATACACACAATTTTATGCTAATACATTTCAAAATGTAGGTAGGATATACCATTTACCAAAATGATCACAAATGAAGTAGAAAATTTTAGTTATACTTTTATATATGACCATTAAAGAAATTGATTTTTTATTTTAAAAAAATGGTGCTCACAAAAAGTGAAAGAAAACAAATGTCCAGGTCCAAATGCTTTCACTGTTGAATTCTGTTAAACATTTATGGAATGCATAATACCAATCTTACACAAATTTTTACAGAAAGGAGGGAATGAGGGAATTATTTCTAACTCATGTAAATGTTTAAACTTACTGTCTGAGAATAAAAATTAAGGAAAGAAAGCCTTAACCAAGAAAGAAATCCCATCATTTGCAACAACATGAGTGAACCTAGAGAACCACTATGATAAATGAAATAAGCTAGCACAGAAAGACAAATACTGCATGATCTCACTTAGATGTGAAGTCTAAAATAGTTGAACTAATAGAAGTAGAATCATGGTTGCCAGGGACGGGGTGATTGAGGTGTTGGTCAAAAGATGCAAAGTTTCATTAGATAGGAGGAATACATCCTGGACATTTATTGTACATGATGCCAATGGCTAATGTTAATTTACTTTATACTCTAAAGTTGCTGAGAATAGGTTTTAAATATTCTCATAACAAAAAAAATGATAAGTATGTCAGGTCTATATCCTGAAGAACAATTTTTACATCCATATAATGATAAATGTGCTATTATGTTCGAAGCATTATTGTTTGTAAGCCAGAAAAACTGCAGAAAACATCAAACTATATTAATAGAGAAGGAGTAAAAAAATTAATTGGGGTGTATTCTTTGTTCTTTAAGAAATTGTTTTAGAGACACAATCTTGCTACGTCACCCAGGCTGGAGTGCTGTGGCACAATCATAGTTCAATGTAACCTGAAACTTCTGGGCTCAAGTGATCCTACCGCCTCAGCCTCCCAATTAGGTAGGACTACAGGCGCTTGCCATCGAACCCAGCTAATTTTTTTTATTATTATTTTTTGTAAAGACGGAGTCACTGTGACCTCAAACTTCTGGGCTCAAGTGATCCTCCTGCCTCAGCCTCCCAATTAGCTAGGACTACAGGTGCTCGCCATCACACCCAGCTAATTTTGTTTTATTATTATTATGTGTAAAGACGAAGATCTCCCTATGTGGCCCAGACTGGTCTTGAACTCCTGGGCTCAAGCAATCCTCCCAACTTGGTCTCCTAAATCATTGGAATTACAGGCATGAGCTACCATGCCTGGCTATATTGTAATAAAGCAGTTAAAATTAATGAGTCTTGTATATATTAACAAACATGTATACATATTCAAAATGGTATATTGAATAAAAAACAAGTTATAAAAACATTCATCGTATGGCTTACTTTAATTTTTAAAACAAACTGAAATACTGTATATTATGTATTTACACATATAAAACAAAAGTATAAACTGTTGAAGATAAACATCAACTGCATTGTCATGGTTACATCTTGGAGGTATGAAATAGTATAGACAGAGATCCTTAATTTGGGTCTTTGGCTGTTCGATTTCTTAAAAAAAAATACTCACAAATGGGATAAAGTGCTTCCATTTGTTAAATTTGGATCATGTGTGCTTAAGTGTGAGCTAGTACTTGGTATTTAACACTTTCCTCTATATTTACATATTTAGTATTTTTAAAAATCAGACCAAAGGAGATATATATTCCATTTGCTTTCATTTATGTACAAGATGAAATTATTTCATCTAGAACACAAAATAAGCTGAGGATGTCTGACTTTAAATATTTCAAGTAATATTTTTGCTAGTTGTTTGTTGGTATTCCAGATACATAAACTTTTCTTTTCTTTTTTTTTTTTTTTGAGACGGAGTCTCGCTCTGTCTCCCAGGCTGGAGTGCAGTGGCGCGATCTCGGCTCACTGCAAGCTCCGCCTCACGGGTTCACGCCATTCTCCTGCCTCAGCCTCTGGAGTGGCTGGGACTACAGGCGCCCGCCAGCACGCCCGGCTAATTTTTTGTATTTTTAGTAGAGATGGGGTTTCACCGTGTTAGCCAGGATGGTCTCGATCTCCTGACCTCGTGATCCGCCCGCCTCGGCCTCCCGAAGTGCTGGGATTACAGGCGTGAGCCACCGCGCCCGGCCCCAGACACATCAACTTTTCTAACAGTACAAAATCAAGCTGTTTTGAATTGATTTACTAGGAGAAAGTAAACGGAGCTAATTTATTCAATCATTTAAGGCACCTGCTATGATTGGTGACTTAGTTGAGTTGTAAAATACTGTAACTTCTGGGAGGTTGGGGGAGGTTCAGTCTTATTTCCCCCCAGCTGAGAATTATCTACAACCTTTAACTGCATCAAAACATTAGTTTATACTTCGGGATCAGTTTCCAGCTTAATAAGTTCACATCTGTCTTACTAAGGAGGAGCTGAAAGCAAGGTATAATTAAAAGATAGTATTCAGAGAGAAATTGATAGCTGTGGTTCACCATTTCCTTCACATTTTTATTGGAAAAAATATTCTATTCATATAGGAAATATCTATGAAAATATTTTAAGATTATACAGCATTTTGTAAAATCAAAATGCATTCCTTTGGAAAAGTGAGGAAGGAACTTGCCTAAAGTAGCTTACAAATTTCACCTGTATTGTCAGAGAGAGACACCTTTCTTTCTCCATTAGAGATTATTTTTTAAAATATGGTTTTCAAGATGTCCCTAAGATGTACTCCAAGTTAATGTACTATATTTTTATAATAAAGAGCATGAAGAGAACTTAAAGTTAGTTTAGTACATACATTAATATTTTTAGGTGAGGAATCCAAGATCTAATAAAATTGCCAAAGTTTTATAAGATGCCCTGATGAAATTTAAATGTGCAAAGGCCTAACTTCCTTCTACTTTAACTTCTTTGCACTGTTTAAGAAATCAAGGAACTGTTGTTATCTTCAGATATCTTTACTTTGTTGTCACTTTGTTTTTCCTCAACACTTCAAAAATGTTAAGATTCTATATTTTTATTGAGAAATATCCATTTATCTTTAGAACAGGAATGCATCCAGATAAAGAGAGCATCATATTTGCTGAGAGCATTCACAGCATCTCTCTTTTTGATCTTTTAAACAAGCCTTGGCTTTACCTTTTCATCTTTCCTCGAGAGACCTATTTCATCATTACAATATCAAAAGATCCATCTTAAGTACCATAAAACTGTGGTTCTGAGTATATGGATTTATTCACATATGAAATATACTTGCTTGTGGTTTTCAAAGATGTGATGGCCAATGTTTCTAGAGATTTTGGTATGCAATTTTCCAGTAATAAAATGTCATAATGTTCTCTTCACAGATGCCAATTACACGTTTATTATTATCTTCCCTCTGCTGTGCTTTATACTCATTACCATAGTATCTATTAAGTTTGGACATTTCCTGACTTTTCTTTTTTAAAGCTACTCGTCTTCCACAATGTAAATTGGGCCTCCCACCAACCCCCATTGCCAGAAAGCTGAACAAAGTGAATCCCTTATTTCTATATGAGTCAGGTGTACATCTTTATGTTAGAACAGTGATCTGTAAAAGCTTAAACTAATTTATCTACTTCTGCTAATTATTTTGGGATAACAAAAACGTGCTAGCACATAAACGATACTTTCATCTTGGTTCGTTCTGCTCTTCCTTATAGAAATTATTAAAACTTAACTCTAAGGCTTAGTACAAATTAAAGTTAATTTTTCCATGCAAAGTTTTAATATGACCTTATTCCTGAAATTTTTGACCTGAACTAATAAAATTTTTTAAATAATTATACTCAGAGTTTTTATATGCTACTTTTTATTTCTTCAACATTACCATTATGAATTTTGCCTTAGAATACACATTCCTTCAGGAATTTAGATGCACAGGGATGCATGTGGATAATGCCATGAGCACCCTCTGGGCAGCAGTTCATAGAGCGGAGGAAAACAGATCAATCATTATTGAGTCTACAGAGCTTCCACATTAGTACAGCCAATTCATTAGATATGATCCCAACCATTAAATTTATTAGATATGATCCCAACCATTAAAAAGACAAATTTATAAGCTTCTTATATTGAGAATCAAGAAAAAAAAACAAAAAGAAAGCATTCCACTGCACAGTTACACAGTGCATGATTCAATTTCAAAATTCTAAAATGAGTGATCTATATGAAGAGGGTATTTGATTGTGTTGTTACTTACTGTTCATTTATTAGTTTTCTGGCTTCGTGGAGAATTATCTGCCTTCTCTGAGTATTGATTTCATTGTGCGCATGGTGAAGATATCGCCTGTTCTACAAGGGAGTAAGATTGAGTGAGATCCTCTAGGAGGAGGCTCCTAAAATATTTTACCCCTGCTAAGCCATGTGATTCATGTTGAAAGATTTTAAGGAGAAGCTCCTGCTTGATTGATAGGTATAACAATTTCTCTTTCTTTGCTATTAAACTTCTACATTACACAAATTTACACATGAGAGTGTTTAATTCCTAGGCTGGAATTTTGCATTTTCTGTAATTTTTGTGTTAACCAGAGGATTTTGAGACCTGTGGCAGAGGCATTCTCTGCCTCAGGAGAAAGGTGGACATAGACTCAAATAAAATAAGTCAATTGAATCTCTAAATAAGTTTTAAAATATGTACTAGGGATACTAACCTGAAATCCAAGATGCTTTCAATTTGCGAACACCACATATTTGACAGAAAAAAAATTGTGAACTTCTAAATTGTTTGCTTGAAGATAGCCTTGGTTTGTATGGGCTGCTGTCACAAAATATCAAAAAATATCACCGTCTGGGTGACTTGAACTACTAATATTTATTTCTCACAGTTCTGGAGGCTGGGAAATTCAAGAACAAGGTGCTGGCTGATTCAGTTCTTGGTGGGAGCTTGCTTCCTGGCTTGTAGACTTCATCTTTTTTTTTTTTTTTTATGTGTCTCTCATGGCAGAGTAAAATTTCTCTTCAGTCTGTTCTAATAAGGGCATTAATCCCATCATGAGGATTCTACCTTCATGACCTAATTACCTCCCAAATGCCTTGCCTTCTAATGCCAGCACATTAGTGTTTCAATAAATGAATTTGAGGGGAATATAATTCAGTTCACACTGAATACCAAGAGTTAAACCTGGTAGGTTTGGGGCATAGCTTATTACATAAATCAATAATTAGGAAATGGTAGTAACAATTAATAGTAACCTTTTTATGTGAAATGTTATTGTCATTTTATAGCTAAAACTTGCATAGTACTGTATATACTATTTGCTAAGTACTTTATTAAAGCTTTACATATATTAACTTATTTAATCTCACTACAATCTATGAAGTGAGGGCCACTGTCTCCCCATATTACAGCAAGAAGAGTTCAGTAAATTTGCCTGAGATCATAGAGCCTTTTAGAAAAAGATTGAAAAGCCAGTGATCTGATACTACAGTCTTAATTACTACATTTGACTGTTACAACAGTGTTTCTGGCTCTAAAATGACACAGAATTACACTAAGAGTGAAGAAACAAGGACTAAAGGCTTAAACAACTCCCTGAAAAGGGCTCTAGACTTCCAGATCAAATTCCATGGTGGCACGGAGCCTGTGGCACATGAGGAGCATTATGGACACATTGGAGGGCTGAGGAGAGACCCCAGGTTTTCCCCCTCCAGTGCCTCAAGAAATTGCCCTGACCTATTCCACCGGTGTATATCACCTGTGTGGTTGACTTGGGCTACAAGAGTAGCCTAAGGGATGAGGTATAACGGGGAGAACATGGCATGCAGAAAATTGATTAGCAAAGCAGGGAATGAGCTATGCTTCTACTGAAGCCATTATGGAACCCTCTCCAAGACTTTGCGTTTTAGGGCATTGACATGGTGTGTTGTCAGTGCACGTTCCTATTACTGTTTTATTTTCCATATCTCAGCAATAGGAAAAATGAGCACAGTGCTCAAGAGGACTGTGTAACAGGTATCAAAATGAAACCCTCTAGGTGGCAAAATTCACACCATTCATTATTCCTAATCCTTCTGCTATGCTTAGAAGGGAGAAGGGGACCTAGACTGTGTTCTCGTGCATGTTGGATTACATTACCTCAAACCTGGATGCAAACTGCTACTTATAAAATGTTAGTGCTTGCTTGCCAATGTCCGATATTTCAAAGCTTGTAAATGTGCTGAATGCAGAATACAGCTAACTAATTCAAATCAGAACATTTTCTCAGAAAAGTTTCACAGTTTCTTGGGATTCTGCATTGTGTTTGAGCATACACTGAAAAGTGGGGACTAAGAAAAAATTGTCTTGTGGAAATCATAGATGGGTTATTTCTATGGATGTGTGAAATGCCAAGGAGTCATGCCGTTGGAACCTCTCGCTTCCTCCTCCAGCTGCATCAGCAGCCCGGCTTCTGTTTCATCCAGGAGGAATCTGTAGTATGTAAACGCAGAGCCATGAGAGCCATCAGAAAGGCTTGTCTATTTCCTTAGCTGTAGGTGCATTTTATTTAAAGTTTTCTAGCTCCTTCTTCTCACCTCTGTCCCATTTTAACTCCATTCATTTTAATAATACTTCTTGTTTCTTCTACTTCTTCCCCTGTCCAATAAAGTTTGGAACTTGTTTGTAGCACCTGAAAGATAAAATACAGTTTTATCAAGAACAAAATAGTTTCTCTGTTAATGAATATGCTATGGCTATATACATATTTGTGTGTGCATGTAAATATATCTTATTACTAGCACACCAAGGAAGTTGTTTAAAAATTAACTGTTAATGTAGTCTTCTCAATGTGAATATAATTAGAAGTTGTAATTTCAACTAAGTTTGTGTCTGTCTATCCACACAGAGAAGAAAACAGACGCAAAGCAATAATGCTAATACTTCAGGCAATATACTTTTACTTAACATGCCCATCAGAAAAATTCCTTACTAAAAATAATAAAAGAGATCATAAGCGGTGTAATAGATACTGAATTCTTCAACAGTATAACTCTTTGTTACATGAAGTTACTTACTTTTTAGCATTAAGAAGGTCCTAAATGGGCCTTAAGAATGTAAAAATTCTCATTGCTTAGAAATTTTCAGTGATTTGAAATCTTCAGATATGTCCTTACCTTGCTGGAGAGTTTTAAAATATCATGTACATACATATGTGTATATACATTTATATATATACGTATTTCTAAATATATATATTTACATTGCATATACACATATGTGTATTTGTATTTATATATGCATATATGTGTATATACTATACACATTTATACACATAAATACATAGTATAGTATATATGTAATATATATCTGAATAACATAGAAATTATTTATTAATTAGATTTAGAAATACATACATATATACATAGATTTAGAAATACATACACACACACATATATTTCTAAATCCAGGCTCTTTTATAGGATGTCTTATGTCCCTATGGGAAATATGGGTAGCAGAAGTAACTGCAGAGACCTATTTAGTCAGCTTCTGAGTTACCCAAGGTAAGAAACTTTCTATGAGATGCTTTGTATGACTGCTTTAAACTTTTTTTTCAAAACTACAGCTACAGGTTTTAAAGATTTCTTTGAAGCAACTGAAGAGTGAACTTTAATTCATGTTTTTTAAACAAAGGTTATATGAGACTTACAGCAGTCTTACAAAAGGAGAATATCAGCAAGAATTGCACATTGCACTCGGAGTGTAACTGACTTTCAAATTTCTCTACAGGTATTATTTCCCATGAATAGGAACAAAGAGCAAAAACAGTTAAAAAAGCATATTCAAATGTGTGCATAAAGAGGCATGGTAAATGAATACTGTTTAGTTTGCTGACATAATTACTTGAATGTAATTTTTATGAGTCGTAGAAATCTTGGCATTTTCACTGAACCAGATAATTAGACTCTGAATAGAACAGGGTCAGAATAATTAATACATCAAAACTAGATGAACTTTTTCTAATTATTTTTATTTAATCTCTATTATAATTATTGTTATACTCTGCTGAGCACGATTGCCTCATGTTCATAGATTTGAATGCAGCCTTATAGTTGCATCCTGGGACTTTGTGGAATATTAACAAACCATGGCCTGTGGAAATTAGAATGGTGTCGTTTCATGATGGAATTCTAAATTGGAATTTCATATTTTTCTATATAGTTGCACAAAATTTGTTCCATAATCATCAAAATATGAATTGTAAAACAAAAGTCTACTTTTCTTTCAAGTTACACTTCTTCAAAGTTCAAGAAAAATGATTTCTCAGAGTTTTTTTTAAAGGCATGTCATCAGCTATTCAATTCATGTGAAATTTTCTGAAAGGTGATTGCATTACATTTTTCATTATTTGAAAGTTTTTAATATCATGATAAATCTTAATCATTTTAAGGCGAATGTATCAACAGGCAGTCGAGATCATTACCAACTATAATTAAACACTTTGAAATTCATGTTAGGAAGTAATGGTGTAACTTTCCGGTTGGGATGATAGCTACTTAACTGTGCCAGACCTTTAAAATAGCCATGATAATGCAGAAAAATAAGTTATGACAGCCAATGAAACCAAGAAGACTAATAAAATATTTTAAAATCTCAGGGCTGAAAGATTACATAGGCCAGTTTAATAAGTGACAGGAGGCTAATCCATGTTTGAATATCTAAAATAGAAATGCTGTAATATAGAGAGGAAGCTTCAAAAAAGATTTTATCCTTCAAAACAGTATCCAATAAAGACTGTTGTCCAAGGCACCAGTGAGAAAGCTTGAGTTCTCTCTTAATTCTTGGTCATTATTTTAGAGCTGGCCAAAACTGCCTTCTCCTCATCTTGTCATTCTGGACTCTCCATCTCTACTCTATGGAAGTCCACAACTTCTTTCCGTACAGGACTGAAAGTTGATTGGGTTTAAGGAGGATTACAGCCTTAGACATAAAGTAGGAAATAGGTATTAGTAAACTGCACACCCTGAAAGGATCCATTCTGAGGATTTACAGAATGCTTAAAATTATCTAGGAAATAATTCATCTGGTAATATCAAAAATGCAGGATGGCTGGGCATGGTGCCTCACACCTGTAATCCAGCACTTTGGGAGGGTGAGGCAGACCAATCACGAGGTCAGAAGTTCGAGACCAACCTGGCAACATGGTGAAACCCCCGTCTCTACTAAAAATACAAAAATTAGCTGGGCGTGGTGGCAGGTGCCTGTAATACTACTCGGGAGGCTGAGGCAGGAGAATCGTTTGAACCTGGGAGGCAGATGTTGCAGTGAGCTGAGATCGCACTATTGCACTCCAGCCTGGGCAACAGGGCAAGACTCCGTCTCAAAAAAAAAAAAAAAAAAATGCTGGACAACAGCAGCAGGGTAATTTCTGCCTAATTTTTGTGGAATTGAGCTGTTTAAATGTTTACTTGATGATGGAATGTGTCTCAAAAAGCTACATATCAGCAGCGGGGCCAGGGTTGGGGCTGGGGTGCAGCCCAAATGTTTGTGAGATTCTGAGAACACCAAGACAGACAGTAATATCTGTCCAAGGGAATAATGCCCTTTGCAAACATTAACAGTGTGAGATTTTTACGTTTTTCAATGATTTTTTAAACATCAAAGTTGAGCGAATGACTGCAGTTTTTCATGTAAGAAAAAACTATTTATCATAAATATGTAAAATAAGTATAAATGAGAAAATAAAAGAAAAAGAAGAGTGTTGAACTATAAACACTGCCAGCACAAACATAAAAGAATGCGAGACAGAAGATATCACAGTGGAAAAATTAAAATTGGCTTCGGCTGTAGCGAGCAACATAATTGACATTGTAGAAAATGAAATCACTAATAAAGTAGACAGTTCTCTAAAAACACCAAGAAAATATATAATAACAATAATAAGAGATGCTATAGAGGAGAGAAAACAAAAAGTCAAAATATATAAATCATTAGCTTCCACTGGGAATAAATCAAAGCAATTGAAGCTAATCATTATTTAGAGGAGAATACTTTGCATAGTTAAAAACAAACAAGAAAACATAACGGCAACAAAAGACATTACTTGAATATACGGGTCAAAAGTGTTCACTAAGTGCCACGCAAAATTAAAAACAAAGTAACTTAGAATAAAACTGGCAAAATTGTTGAATTTCAAGTTTTAAAGAAAAAAATTGACAACCACATGGGCAAAACGTAAAAAATTTACACTGTTTCCAATTCTACTTAACTCAGAGTGCCAGAATATGATGTCATAATGAGATAAAGTTTTGAGAGAAAAATATGTCATCTAAGGATATTTTAACCGAGTACAACCTAATTTATGTGCTGGTATAACACTGACCTCCCTGCTCAGATATGCAGAATTTAGAACATAAACTGCCCATGGATACTTGCTTTGAAACTTTTACTTAGAAGATGTCCATCAGCAGGCTAAGAGATGGATAGTATTTTAAAATTAATGAATGAGATATGTGAATCTGAAATTACTGTGGTACTTCCTGTTATAGTTTTAAAATATATTTGTTTAACATGCTAAGAGCTACCTTGAAAGGTCATTGGGACTTTTTAGAGTAAAAAAAAAAATTAAAAATAAAAAAAGACCAAAAAGCAGGGATGTTCACAATGAAAGAAATAAGTTGTTTGTCTATATACTAATAGCATACGGATATCATAATATAAGTAACAATATAATTCTAATGTCTAGTAGATATAAAATTTGCTATATGATCATGAATATCTTACAAACATTACATAAACAGATGTAATATTGCTAAATAATTTTGGATTAATTGGCCTTTTGGAAAATAATTCTTAAATTGGATCCTTATCTTACACTTTAACTTAATGTAAATTTAAGGTAACATAAGGAATAAAATTTACCAAATAAAAATTTTTGTAGAAAATATGAAAAAATAAGTGGTGATGTTTCTAATCCTGGAGCAGTAAGAGAACTTTTAAGCATAAACATAGCAAAATTCACAAAGTACAAAATTAAATTTTGAAGTGTTTCTCGGAAAATCCTATGAAATTTTCTCTTACCATAATCAATAAGTAGATATGCAGAAGAGTTTTCATTAATAAGACAAATTATAAGCCATAAATATTTTAACCAATGACCATGTATCATCTCTGCTTAAACATGTTGTTACAACTGTTTATCAATAGCATTATTTTTTAAAAGATGCTAACAAATATTAAATAATATATAGCTTCCACTTATTATAAACTCCATATATCCCAGCACTGTATTTAAAATCTTACTTAAGTAATCCAGTTTGGCATTTGCAACAAATCTCTGGGGTGAGAGTTATCCATCTTTTTACAGATGAATAAACTAAAGCTGAGGAATAAGTTGCATGACAAACTAACTTGTAGGAGTTGAAGCAGGAATTGAACTCAGGCCTGAGGACAGACTCTGAGTGCTTAAGTCACTACATGCTTCTTTCTCAGTGTTAATCATATGTAATGTAAGGAAAGGATTACATCTGTTTTGTTCTTAGCTATATCCCCTTAGCTTAGCAGAAGGCACAGCTTACAGTAAGCACTCACTGAACAATTGTTGAATGCATGAATATATTTAAAGAAGATATTATACTAGAAACTGAGAGATGGGAGGCTAAAATCAAAATTATTACTTCAAGGAAGTTTTCAGTAGGGGGTTTCTGGTAAGATATGGAAATGTGGAATAGAAATAACTATAATACAAAGCAGCTTTTTTCAAGTGCAATACAGTATTCACAAATGCAGTGTTACCATTTCAAAGGAAGAGAGTCCATTACCAAAACAAGGTAAGAGGATTCCTCATACTAACTCTGTTATCATGATTTAGCTTTGAAAATAGGCAATATGGTGTTCTTGGGTGCTTTTTCATACACCCAAGATCAAGTATTCTTAGTCACCTAGGACATGATAGCATTATTAAAATTTCTACTTATGGAAAAGATTAATTAATCTAGAACAATCTATCTTAATAGTAAAATCAACGTGTTAGGAGAGATGTGCGTGGGGATACATTCACTAAAAATTAAGTAGTTTTGAAGATGTGATGGCTGCCCTATATGATGTCAATACAGGAGAAACATTGGTATAATCTTAAGCTTGTTATCCTGTACAGTAAGATAAATTCTAATACTGCAGTACTTAACTATGACAATAAATTAGATTCTTGTAGATATAAAGTTAGGAAGTGGTTATACAGGACGCTTTAATAGTGTGTGTTAAGGCAAATAATAAGAAAGAATGATTGGAGGAAAATACCACACAAATAGTGCACAAGCAACTTACTCCGTGCTTTTCTTACATTGAACTTTTTATTAAACTAGATTTCTTTGCCGCTCCATGAGGCTTACTGTGTTTCTTTGCTCCTCTTCCATATTAGGTAATATCCCCGTTACACTGAAAACAAAAATATTGCTTATATGTTTAAAATATAGAATCTAAAATTTGTTCATCTAGCAAGGCGCAGTGACTCACGCCTGTAATCCCAGCACTTTGAGAGGCTGAGACGGGTGGATCACGTGAGGTAGAGTTCAAGACCAGCCTGACTAACATGGAGAAACTCCATCTCTACTAAAAATATAAAAATTACCGGGTGTGGTGGCGGGTGACTGTAATCCCAGCTATAGGGAGGCTGAGGCAGGAGAATCACTTGAACCCCAGAGGTGGAGGTTGCAGTGAGCCGAGATCACACCACTGCACTCCAGCCTGGGCAACAGAGCAAGACTCCATCTTAAAATAAATAAATAAATAAATAAACAAACAAACAAACAAATAAATAAATAAATAAAATTCTTCATCTAAAGTTATTAAATTGGGTGATTTCTATTTAGAAAGAGTCTATACATTTGTCTGCAAGTTATTAGGTATCTGGAATTCCTGTTTTGGGGTTTTTTGTTTGTTTGTTTGTTTTTTGAGACGGAGTTTCGCTCTGTCACCCAGGCTGGAGTGTAGTGGCACGATCTCGTGGAATTCCTGTTTTTGCTTTCATGTTGCTAGGATTTTAGTCTCATTCTATTTGGTTTATGCATAAGAACTCAGATTGAAAAAAATAGTCTTATGTCATAATTTCTTTGAATAGTACAACATTCTTCTTTGCAACTCTTCTGTCTCCAGTCTTCTGGCAGTTGATGCCACTGCCTCAGATGCCTGATGGGCTTCCTGGCACTTTTATAATATATCACTGAGTATTGGCTTACAAGTTTTAGGAGAAAATAGAGCTGAAGACCTGAACTTTCCCATTTGGCAGCTCTTCACCATCAGTGCTCACGTCTGAATTGTTGACTATTCTTAAATCATGAAAGGACTTCTGCAAACCTTGTAAAGACCTTAGTTCAAAAACATTTTTATTTGTAGTTTAGAGACCCACAGAGAAAGTGACCTTTCAAGAAGATGGGTTCAACCCAGAGAATGAGGAAATGGCTAAGAACAAATATTAACCCAGTGAAATGAGTATGAAGAAGGCCAAGTAGGAATAGAGGCAAATTATGGAATCTGTATATTTTATTGGACTGAAAATATCCTTTGGCAGTACCTAGGGAACCAGGAAGGCTGGGGAAGGAGAATATAGCCTTAAAAATGTATAATCACTACATGGATAGCCATTTGTCCAAGAACTTTCCAACTATGAAAGACTTTAAGAATTTGCCTGACTTTTATCATTTACTTGTGTCAGAATTTGAACTCTTACTTTTATGTATGTAATGCCTAAATACATAAACATCCTGCAAATAAAAACTGCAACCTCCTGGAATGTGGAGCTACTTTCACTGCTGTTCTAAAAGAACTTTTCTCAAACATTCTCTAAAGTGAATACTTTGCCTTACTGATAACCAGTGCCATTGCAATACAAACCAAGCACAGAACAACAGAGATTGGGCAACCTACAATCTGCATTCAACTTGAAGACCTTTGAGGACGGGGTTCTGTCTGCACTGTCTTCTTCTGTGGGATGGTGGTGGTGTGTGTGAACAAGCGCAAAGTCCATATCCAGTGATACACTTTTAATATTCTATTCCTTAAATGACATATTTAATGCAACTGGCATTTATTGTCATGCATTAACAGGCAAACATATAAGTCGCGGGAAAACGCCATCCCATGCAAAATTTATATATATATACACACACACACACACACACACACACACACACACACACACACACACATATGTATATATATAAAGCATCATTTCCCAAATTGCAACATCAACATATAGCCCTACTCTGAGTTATGTGGTCCTAGAAGTCATGTGTCTTCTCATATATGTGTGTATGTGTGCTTGCCTAAACACACAAATTCAAAGTACTGTTCACTCTCATCATTACATTCTTAGCGAGTGTCAAGATTTAGAAAGAAATTATTGCTTATAGTGCTTCTAAAACATTGATATTTGTTTTCAATATCAAGATCAAATATCAATGTTTTAGAAGCATTAGAAGCAATCAATGTTTTAGAAGCATTAGAAGCAATGATTTCTTGAAATCTGAAATATCCTTTTGTGATCTAAGAAATTTAAAATTAAAAGTTACTTCTCAGGTATAAGGTCAACAGATAACGAGAAAAAATATTTAGGATCTCATTTTCCATTTTCCAAGATTTCAGATTAGGGTATTTCTTCAATCCTTTGAAGTCATAAACCTTTGACTAAATTTTCCCTAGAAAAATTGAAGCTGAAACTTAGGACTCTAAAAAATGAAAAGTTTTTAAATCATACATCAATATATACATTAAAAGGGAGATTGCTGATCCCCAAGGGGAGTGATTTTAGCTTGAATTATCTGTTTGATTTCATATATTAGACAGACTTTCATATATATGTCATATATATGAAATGTCATATGATAGTATTTCATGTGTATATGACAGTATTACAAATTCACCTTACTTTATGTAAACAAAGTTTAGTCCATACAACTTTAGTTTTCAAATAAATAGAAAATTAAAATATGCACCAAATACTTTGTCTCCATTTATATCTGGCTTTGTGATGAAAGTGAAGCAAGTTTTGAAAATTAGTATTTTTACTCAGTCAATTATCTAAGAGCACAAAGTAGATCTGCCTTGGTTGTTTCCAAGTGCTCCTGAATAAGGCCACACTTCTATGCAAGAATCTGCCAGTGTGATGGAAAGACAGAAGCAGTCCCTTCAGGTTCTTATTATTGTTGTTGTTGTTTCTTGAAACGGAGTTTTGCTCTTTCGCCCAGGCTGGAGTGAAGTGGTGCGATCTCAGCTGACTGCAACCTCTGCCCCCGGGTTCAAGTGATTCTCCTGCCTCAGCCTCCCGAGTAACTGAGACGGGGTTTTGCCATGTTGGCCAGGCTGGTCTTGAACTCCTGACCTCAGGCAACCCACCTGCCTCGGCCTCCCAAAATGCTAGGATTACAGGCGTGAGCTACAGTTGTCCAGCCTCCTTCTGGTTCTTAATCAGGAAACCCCAAATATACTTGACTGGTTTGTTGTCCCATAAGGTATGGACTTCTTGTGGGAAGTAAACAAAAAATAAATATTCAAAACCTGGCTTTATCTTGCCTAGTTTGTTTTTACAAATCCAAATATATCCATGTAAGGTATATGCAAAAATATCTCTTGATCTAGTGACAAAATCTGTGCATGCAAAATTAAAAGTGGCTTATATTAACAGAGAGAAAATTTTCCTTTTATATGCCTACTACTCATTGAATAATATATGTTTATTCAGCTAGTGTTTTGTGTTGTGAAGAATAAGAAAACTTAATTTGAAATTTGGTATTTAAAAACATTTTTTCCCGTGCTAGCTAAACTTAAACATACTATAATATGCTTCAAATTTTCATTCTAGTTTTGTTGTTGTTTCAAGTTTTGTTTTGCTATTCTGTGGTATTCTTAACCATTTCATCTTCCATCAGAGGGGTGTGAACATCATTTTCACAAGCAAATGAAAGATATATAAGAGGCCTAGTGCAAACTGTAACTTCCATAGATGTCAGCTAATTGTAAAAGTTAATTATTAAGTTTTGTTTACTAGAAAAGCATGACATGCTGCTTGCCAAAGTTTTTATATGTTAAAATAGTAATAAGGAGTTATAGATAAATGTGTTTCCTGAACTAAGGATAATTAAATTTATCAATTTTTTTTATTTCATATATTTACACAAATTTTCTCCCTCTTTATTTTACCTTAAAAATGTGATCATTTTACCCCACTCATGTTTCCCATCCATATAACTAAGCAAAGTTATTTGGCATTAAATCCTTCCTTCTCTGAACAGAAGTGATTCATTGTTCCAGATAATATCTAACACCTTCATAATTATCATTAATCTTTGAATTAATACAAATTTAGATATTTATATATTTTAACACCACACAAAATTCGTTGTAAAAACCTTTAGCTTCTTTAGTATACCTAAAATAATGTTTTCAAAGGTTTTTTCCTTACTGTAAGTTTAAAACCAATTCACTGTGGAAAACTAAACTGTCATCAGCTAATTGTCTCAACTACAAACATTTATTTGAAGTGTGTATACATGTCAGAATGTGTGTGTGTATAGCTTGTGAGAACAAGTGATTTAGACTATAAAATGCTGAAAAGAGTGAAGGCTATTCTTGCTATATGGTAGAAAGTGAATTCATAACAAGTATATTTTTGAGATGTTGGTCCTGTGCAAGCTTAACATCATTCAGCAGCGGAAAGGAATCTGGTGCCCTATTTGTACTTCCATCTCACCTCCTATTCACTTTCTTTGTAACCTTTTTTCTTCTTATGAACTTGGCATTCTATTGAACATCAGGTTCCCAAAGAGTAATAGCAAATAAGGAAGCTTTATGGGCTGCCTTAGCATCGGGTGCACCAGAAGACGACAGATCCCAAAGGAATGCGAGATGTGTGCTGGAGACTCACCCCAGCGTATTTACACTTTGATGGTCCTGAGAAACTTAGGACCCAAGGGTTGTGGCGCTAAATCTCATCAAAGGTACCATGCACATTTTAGAGACAAAAGCTGGCATTGCCATCCAGTGGCGACATCCGGTATTGCATGTTCAACCAAACCCCGTTTGTTTTGCTTGGACACCGTGTCCTACATAGAAAATAAAATACAATGACTTTGTTTATTTTCTCTTCTATCTTAACAATTCAATGTATGTAATAAGCAAGCAGAAGTAGTTGTTAAAGTATCTTTCATTTTAAGTTAGTTTTACTATTTCCCCTCTAGGTTTGGATGTAGCGTGTGTAGAATGAACAAATGTGTAGGCAAAATAAAAATTTACTAATATTTTTGAACGAAGATTTAAAGTACTTAAAATGGACTCCAAATGAGCAACTCTTTATAAGATCAGGGAATTTCTAGTGATTAAAAATCGCAATGGTTCGGCCCATTTATTTTAATAGCATTACTATTAACTCAAAGATGTATTGATATGGACTCACACCAAGGTTGTGATTATACCAACCTAAGCTCTCCAACTTAGAGTACCTGGTGCAGTTCACATGTGTGTGTTTAATAAACGCATGAACTAAGAAAGAAGAACATGGAGAGATTTTTCCTGTTGTCAGTTTGATGTTGAAGGGCACATTGTTTTTCTATTATGTTGCTGATTTCTGTATTTATTCCACATATATCAGAAACATTTCTCCCACCTTCTGGGTAAATTGCAATGGAGGTCTCACCCAGAACATTTAGGTTTGAATTGGTTAACAATTCAAGCAGCCCTACCTTTTCAGCACTTTTTATTTTTTAAAAAAAATAGCATTTTGTTTTTCCTTCAAACCTCACATCTTCCAAGCCCTTCAAAGAGCTGTACTGATGAATGCATGTTTCTAATAGACTTCAAGAGGGTTATCCTGGACGCCTGGTATAAGTTCAGGGGTCCCCTCCCCCTTTATTTACCTGTTATGTGTCATTAGCTCCTGCTTTTTTTTAATGTTACAAACTCTGTGTACTTTTTGTAGGCATTGGTTTTCAATGCTGCGTTGCCATTTGGTTTTCATTCATAGGAGAAGTTTAAAAGGAGAAATGAGATCTTACATGAAAGATTGTGCTCAGCACTTTTTATTTGGCAGGGGAAAATATGAGTGGAGTTATTTCACCTAAGACATAGAATTATTTTGTTACGTGAAAGACATTATTTATATTTTCTTATGTTAATACAAATATATAACGCATTCAAGGTAATCCACAAAGCTAAAATGAAAATCCAGTTATCTGAGATTTGTTTCCTTGGCATACGTACTAACCAGTCTATAGGGGGCCTTTGGCACATAAATGTTCATTTACTTTGAGCTTAGTGGCATCAGCCATTTTTAACAAACCATAAACTGCTAACAAGCTTCAACATAAAGAAGAAACATATAAAGACAATATGGATAAGATATGTAAATAGTAACACCCTGACTTACAATGACTTTTTTATTTGAAATAACTTTTATTAAGCAGAGTGAACTGAATGGATCATTTTCATGTATATTCACCCATTAAAATAATTTAAATATTTTCTTTAAAAAGAAAAAAATTGGTATTTGTTACCTTTCTGTTTTTCTGCTATATATTTTCTTAATATGTAAGCAAATGTTTTCTTTCAGAAAAGTTGGAATTCATCCAAATTACAACAACAAAAAAATATGCACACAATTAAGTATTCTTAGAAGTGCTATCCAGTGCCCACTTTCTTCTTGTTTGGAGTACATGTGTTTATATTCCACTCTTCAGGCCTTGAGCCTGCATACTGGGCTGTCTTTGTGTGGCAATATGGTTAGTTCATTTAATAAATTAATCATTTTGTTACTAATATTATTTTAAAATGCACACGTACCGTTCATATTTCTGTTCTGATCTCAATTACTGTTTGGAGTACTTGAGTTTATAAAGTGAAACACTGCTGTCATTATAGGATCAGTTTTTGAGAGTTTTGTGATGGCTTTGTCATTGGACATGCAAAAGACCCAAAGTGACAATACAAAGTAAGAAAGAATGGGAAGACTTGTTAAGAGAGAGCATGGCACTGGATCTCAGTTGTCCCTTGCTAGGAATTATTGTCATATACTCAGTGCTGACAACTATAGGTTGGAATTTTGCAGTGCAGTTGCCTTAAATTTTAACCGTGGAAATAAGCCATTTTCATACCCTTCCCATTGAAAACTGTTGTAAGGCTTGGTATCCTGAAAATCTGCATCTAGGAGATAGTCTAGTACGCTCCTGGTCACTTGGTAGTCCTCTAGGTTATCAGATTGACAGATCACAGAAAGAAGGGTGAATATAGTATAACAAGGTATTTTGAGAGAGAGAACTTTTATTCACCTAATTTTTATTAAAGTATATTGTTATATTTGTTCTATTTTATTATTAGATATTGTTGTTAATCTCTTGCTGTGCCTAATTAATAAATTAAACTTTATCGTAAGTATGTATGTATAGAAAAAACGTGGTATATATAGGGTTCAACGTTGTTTTGGGCATCCACTGGGGTCCATGAAACGTAGCCCCCGTGGATAAAGGGGGGGCTACTGCACACTTAAATATGGACTACTGTTATTCCCTCTGCAAATACTTCTTGGAAAGTTATTAAATGAAGATAATGTGGAGTCCTGTACAAAAATCAGTCAACTTAATAATACTCCAAAGACATTAGGCTTTTTAATTACTGGTAGAAAAGCTGTTGTATAAGTCTCACTTTGTATTTCAACTTGAAGCAGCTTCCTAGGATTCCATACCAAGATCTTCCCCTTTACCTGTCTATATTTTACACTGAGCTTGAAGAGATAGTTTAAGATTGGCTGTAGGAGAAAAAGCCAGAATACAATGGTGCATTTATAAGAACCTAATACCTGGGCAATGTGTTATGATGTTTAACTATTTAAAAAGAAAGACTTTATACTGGGAAATTAAGTCATAAAGATGCCACCATTCCCATCCATTGACTCCACATACCGCTACCCTCCAATGCCAAAGTCCACAGAATTTGGCCATCAAATATCTATATATAGTTTTGATGAAGTTAGGAGATTTACCTAAATTTATGTAATGTTTTATGCTTGTAAATTTGATCTAAATAGAAAAAGTAAAGTAAACCATTAAAAACCTCAATGGACAGTTGATGCAAAATATGGAAAAATAAGAATATCAATGGATGCAATCCAGTATGAAAACAGGCCTCATTAAAAGCGAAACATTCTGTCCTCCTCCTTTACAACACACTTACAAGATTTCCAAAATCGCATTTAGATGGTAGTTTTAAAAATGTATGAAACTGAATCAAAGTAAAAAATGTTTCACAGTGACAAAAATATACAAAGCAAAAGTTGCTGCTAAAACCAAAATAGATTACTTCTAGTTTTAAATATATATATTTTTGACAAAATTATGTTTTAAAAAAATCTTTTACAATCTATAAATAATAATTCTGCTAAATTTACTGAATGTGAACAGGTAATAAATAAGAATAATGGTAACTATGAATAGAAGAAAATACTTTCCCTACTGTATATACCTGACTTCAAGAAATTTATCTCTCTGCTGTCATTCTCTTAGGCCAGATGCTAGTTTGGAAAAAGGAAAATAATATCATAATATTTTTTGGCATTACACCCTAATTAAAAGGGCAGTTGGCAAAATTTTGTTGCATATATAACTTGATTTCTAGAGCTACAGTGTTTGAAAACATCATCTGGGCTAGGGATGCAGGGCAGCTAATAAGACTATCTCAAACAATATGTCACTAATCCAGAAACTGTAATTTCCTATCAAAACGAGGCATTTTCCTTATATGTAATGTGAATATTCTTCCCTAAAAGCATAGAGTGTGTAGTGTAGGAGAAGAAACTTAATTTTTGGAGGAACTCCAAAGGCTTGCTTTTTATCTGATGTTGATAAAGAATGGAAAATATCAAAGCATAACAGTGATTTAATTTTTTAAAACACCCACACTAATTCTCTTCCCATGAATTCTCAGTACTTTCAAACAAGCAACGTTTTAATACAGAAGCAATTAATTTCTGTATTCCTCGATTTGTATGACATTTACTAGAGCAAAATCCTCAGGATACCTGAGCTTTAACATGAGCAATAGACCTCAAAAATGACACAGGAAGATGCCATAAGTGCCTGTATCTTACATAGGAAATGGTGGCACCCTTATGGCTATCTTAATATGACCGACTTCCCTAATGGTATCAGACAGGCTTCAATCAGGAAACAGATTCTATCCAGTAAATTCAATAGAGAATGTGTAAAATACAATTTTTTTAACTGTAACAGAGGATTGGAATCATAGCTTGGGATACCAAGAAGTATAGGTAATTCTAAAGAATATAGAATAGCAGATTCTATTCCAAACGCTGAGAGAACACACCCAAGGTAAGAAAAAATCTGGAAAAGGACCCTGCCCCTCCAGGGCTGAGATCCAGACCTCACTGGAGAGGGCATGGCAGTGGCCCTGGGGATGCGGAGTTGCTGAGGTGCCATGCCAGCAGTAGTCACTGAGAAACTGCCCTCTTGAGTGTCAGAGGGACGTCACTAATGGAGAGATGCCCACACAAGTCCCACTTGGAATTTGTTACCGGAAATGGCACATTGGGAAACCTCCCTCTTGGTGTCAGGGAATGTCCTGCACCACCAGCTGCCACACACTGCAGGAGCCTACTGAGAGCGAGCACAGGCTGGCCCAGGATGATGAACCCATTCCTCTGCTAGGTTCCCGCCACACCACCAGCTGCCACACACTGCAGGAGCCTACTGAGAGTGAGCACAGGCTGGACCCAAGAGGAAGAACCCATTCCTCTCCTAGGTTCCCACGAGTGCCTTCTGCCAACGAAGCTTAATGGCATGCCAACTGTCCAAGGAGAAAGGATGAGAAGCCACAAGCAGGACAATACAGGTTTCCTTGGAGCCAAGAGGCAATAGATTGGTAACTGCCATACTCCCCTCACCTAATGTTTTAAAAATGCCATCAGTTAATTTTGTTCTGAATCTCTGAGGTGGTACCACCACATTACAAAAGCAAATTGCACTGTGCATTCATTCTAAATGCCAGGATTATTTGTGGTTGTTTGTTGTATTCATTATGAATACAGGTTCAGTTCCCCTTATTCAAAATGCTTGGGACCAGAAGAGTTTCAGATTTTGAAATGTTTGGATTTTGGAATATCTGCAATATATTTACCAGTTGAGCTCTCAGATCTGAAAATCCGAAATCCAAAATGCTCCAGTGTGAGCATTTCTCTGGAGTATCATGTCCATGCTCAAGAGGTTTTGGATTTTGGAGCATTTCAGATTTTCAGATTTTGGAAACCCAGTCGGTACAGCACATGGAAGAGAGAGCTAAATTATACACTCACCCTTTCCTATAGGCTGTAACAGTAGATATTACTACTTTCAGGGCATAAGGCAACCCAGTTATAGACCACGTTTCCCAGACTCGCTGGCAGGCAGGTGAGGCCAAGTGACTCAGTGCTGGCCAAGAGGATGCGCGAGCAGGCAGGATGTGGAACTCCCAAGTCTTGTCCTTTAAGGAAGTAACGTGGCTTTTGTTAATACTTATTTTTTTCCTTATCTTGCTGGCTGCAAAGTGCACCTTGTAATAAACTGTGTGGACCATGCAAAGAAAGTGATATTCTAGAGAGGTAGAGTAAGACAGAAGAAGCCCGGCCCTTAAGAACTTCAGCAGGGCAGAGCTCCCACATCAGCTCACATCTGTGTGTGAGAGAGAGAGGGAAAGAAACTTCTATTTTATTTAAGCTGCTATTATTTGGGGGCTTTGCAATCATATTATTTTGCTTCTCATATCTCGGTACCATACTGTTGTTGACTAGAAAGTTAGCAAATGTGTTAAATAGAAAGAAGCACAGACCTATTAGTGAAAAACTTTCTTTCTTTCTTTCTCTTCTTTCCTTTCTTCCTTCCTGCCTGCCTTCTTCTTTCTTTCTTTCTCTCTCTCTTTCCCTCTCTCTTTCTCTCTCTCTTTCCCTCTCTTTCTCTCTCTTTCTCTCTCTCTCTTTCCCTCTCTCTTTCTCTATCTCTCTTTCTCCCTTCCTTCCTTCCTTTCTTTTTTGATGGAGTTTCACTCTTGTTACCCAGGCTGGAATACAATGGGATGATCTTGACTCACTGCAACTTTTGCCTCCCGAGTTCAAGCAATTCTCCTGCCTCAGTCTCCCAAGTAGCTGGGAGTACAGGCTCCTGCCACCATGACCAGCTAATTTTTTTGTGTGTTTTCAGTAGAGACGGGGTTTCACCATGTTGGCCAGGCTGGTCTTGAACTCATGACCTCAGATGATTCACCCGCCTCAGCCTCTCAAAGTGCTGGGGTTACAGATGTGAGCCACCATGCCCAGCCACAGTGAAAAATTTTCATCTGGAAACTTCCTTAGACATGAAAAAAACACAAAGATTTTACACAAAAGTGGAAAACAACAATTCCCTTGAAAGTTTAGAACTTGTTATATTCATAATTATACGTTTATTTTCAGAAAAATATTTTCTCAATGCTTGAAATGTAATAACAATAATCAGTCTTATGTCTCAGCAAAGTATTTCATTATGTTGTCATTTTTGAAGGCCGCTTCTCTGATTCTAATGCCTTATTAGAATATATGCTTTAGAAGAGATAGGGTTCTAAATCATATGTTGATTAGGTTAAGGCCACACGGGCACCAGTGTGTGCTCCAGCGTTGGTTTTCCTCATTCATCCAGACAAACCTAGATGTCACTGATACTGAGTGTTTCTGCCCAGTTGCCCGGTCAAGAATAAATAACCAAGTGTCCCAAGTGCTGGGCTTGCCATTGGCTGACAATCCTCTGTCTAGTAATTGCACTCAGCTAAAGAGAGCTGCTTTGCTCAAGGATGCATCCTGCCTTCGTATTCAATGACAGATTGATGAGGGTATAAAGACGCAAGTCCCTGGATTCAACGTGTGACCACTTTGAAGGGCCACCCAGCTCTGGAGCTATCTGGGGTATGAGGTCTTCCTTGTGACTGTATCACATCCAGCCTCATTCCCTGAACAGTTTTGCTTCCTTCCCTTCTCCTACAGATGTGAGTCCCAAGAGCACTTCCTAATAAACTCCCACTTGCTCATTTTCATCTCATGCTTACCTCGCTGAGATCCTGGCCTGCATACTGGGCTAATCAGATGATAGAGCAGACGCAAGCTATTCCTCTGGCCAAATTTCAGTCCTCCCCCAAGTGCTAGCACCATTCATTTAACCAGAGCTTTTTTTTTTTTTTTTTTTTAAGGTAACTTGTAGATTTCCACTTTGCCTTGTGAATTAGGTTGAATTACACACCTATCATTTACAGATTGAGAGACTGGATTATAAGCAAGTTAATAAGTTGATCTAGAAGCATACTGAAATACAGACCCATGATAGAGCAGATGTTTCTCTCCTGAAGGCAATTCTCTAGTAGTGTGTGGTATTTAATAATTGAACCAAGTCAGAAATCCCAAGAACAACCAGCCTCAACAAGAAGACAATTAAAGTAGAATCCAATTAAGGGGTATACATTTCTTCCTCAACCTGATGAACAGATTTTTTTAAAGGTGAGAGAAATTTCAGTTGAATATTTGTATTTCAAGATTAAACCCAATAACAAATTATACATATAGAAAATGGGCCGGGCGCGGTGGCTCACGCCTGTAATCCCAGCACTTTGGGAGGCCGAGGCGGGCGGATCACGAGGTCAGGAGATCGAGACCATCCCGGCTAAAACGGTGAAACCCCGTCTCTACTAAAAATACAAAAAAATTAGCCGGGCGTAGTGGCGGGCGCCTGTAGTCCCAGCTACTTGGGAGGCTGAGGCAGGAGAATGGCGTGAACCCGGGAGGCGGAGCTTGCAGTGAGCCGAGATCCCGCCACTGCACTCCAGCCTGGGCGACAGAGCGAGACTCCGTCTCAAAAAAAAAAAAAAAAAAAAAAAAGAAAAGAAAGAAAATGTAACAAATCCACTTATTATTTAAAAACATAGGCAAGGGCACCATTATTTAAACAAGTGTCTCCACAGGTACCTGGACACAATTTAATACTGATATTTTTGAAACAGAATCATTAGATACCACAAGTGACAATTGCTCAATTTATAAAAGGCCTTACTTGTATTAAAGAAGAATGACATGAATTGGAAAATCATGGTTTTCTTATTGATGGAATGATCCTGTCCAAACTTCAATATCTTAATCAATAAAAGGTATACAGGAAGGGATGAAGTTTTAAAAACTTTACTTTTTTAAACAAAGAAGTAATTAAAAAACAATCATTCCTAAGGTTTTTGTATAATGCATTCTATTGCATAATGATCTATTCAAATTAAAAGATATTTATTTTATTATTAAAGTATAAATTGGTCTCTAAGCCTTAGAGATAGGAAAGTAATAGTTACATGTGCTCAGATAAAATTCTCTTTTTTTGTTTATTTTCTCTAATTCGATGCAGAATTACCTAATGTTAGGTAACTGGTGCAGGATTTTTTCAAGGTGATGAACTGTGAAAATTATGTAATGGCATTCTGCTTCTTAACTTATTTTCAGGGGTACACTTTCAATATAGTAAGAACTTACTAATTAAACACAGAGAGAAAAGTAAAGATTAGAACAATTACACATTTTTCAACTGTATTACTTTTGAGTCACTTTATATGGCCAACCAAGATATACAAATGCAAATTTCAGTAAAGGAAAATGATAATTCAAGATTGATCTACATCAATTAATAAAATGCTACAGACGCTAAGTCCTTTTCCGTAGAGGACTTAGTTGTTAGAAAAGAAATTGAGAAAATAGTAAAATTGTTTCTAATTAAAAGCACAAAATTTCTGGTCAGATTTGGGTTTTGATTAATTGATACTTGTAACTGTGTGATCATGGCATAGTCTCCTAAGCTCTTTAGCCGTCCTTTCATCATCAGAAAAACTCAGATAATATGACTTCCGCCATCAACACTTGAACATTAATAGAAATAGCATCCTCGTGTTTTTACAATTCCTGGCACATCATAAGCACATAATAAATGGCAGTTTTAGTTTATCACTATTGCATGCTCTTTGGATTCAAAATTCTCAGATCTGGTACACTGATTTTCTTCCTTTCAGACCATAATCATTTTTTTTAATGTATACTTACTGTCTTTGAATGATTACTAAATCCAAATTAGCAGGATCAGAATTAGTGAGATTAGATAGCGTTTTTGCAAGTTATAGTTTATATAATGCTTACTCTCCCAAATAAAATGTGACTTTCGTATTCGTTCTGTATCAAACTTTAAAATTTTGAGTGTGAATAAAAGATCGTTTAGTGGTTGAGTGCAACGACACTCTTATCAAATTTAGATGAATTCTCACTCACCTTTGCAAGACCTTAGTCAGTAAAATGTCTCGAGGAATTATGTAAGAACAGAAAAAATTTAATATACATTGCTGTAAACAATAACTCCACAAGGTAAAACTCCTTCAGCATAATTTGTAGCTTAAATGTAATGTGTATTCATACACTTTTATTCTGCAAAAGAAAGTAATTTAAATATTTATCAAATGTGATTTACATGAAAATACAATCCTACTTTTCATTTATGGTGCTGTTCTTGTGTCCCTCAGAGTTGTCTTCTTTAAATATACATTTGGAAACATATTATGATCCAAAATACAAAAAGTAAATACAATGCGGAATGAGGGAGCTTGTAGGAGGAAAAGTGACTGCAGGCCCAGTGAAAAGAGAAACTAGCTTGTTGAATTTTCACACACTGAACTACTGAGCAGGCTTATTTAAATCTATTTTCCTTTATGAATTATACATGGCTATCATCACGAGGTACACTCCCAGGGTAAAAAAAAAAAAGAAAAAAAAATTTTAAAAGACAACTTACTGATGAGGCATCAAATGGGAAAAACACACTCATTTCCTCAAATCTGAGGTTGATTTTTTATTAATATTTTAAATGATCTGGCAGTGCATTTTATGCGTGTTACTTTTGACTTTCCAGGAAGAAAGAGAAGAGAATGCCTGATCTCACTTTTTACTTTCAATATAGAACAAATCTACATAGGAAGTTGTGGAAGCAGCGACGAGTGTGGTTTGAGGGTCTTCCTGCAAAGAACAGGTAGGCTTCTCTCACCTGCCTGGAACAGCTGGTAAGATTGTGCAGGTGTTTGCCTGCAGGAGAATCCTGCTAATTAAGAAACAAACTAGGCTGTGGAAAGCAATCTGCAGGTATTTTCAGGTAAAACTGTTGAAGCGACAAGTCTAAGGAATGATCTGCCCTGGTTCAGTAACTGGAAAGTTTCCATCTCTTGATTCAACTCACATACTGACCAAATTCTATTATGGATAAGGTGTAAAAGTCCTAAGGCAGTGATAGTCCCATAGGAATGTCTCTGGATAAAAATACTAATATTAACAACATCAAAAACGATCATTTTCATCCTGGTAGTAAGGAGAAATCATCAGCATAAATTTCACTTTTATTCTGCAAAGATGCCTGGCCATTACCCTTGCTACCAGCTGGGGAGCCGGTATTTTTCCAGAAAAGGAATGAAGGCAGCCAAGCTTCACCACTTGCCCTGCCATGGCCTCATCTTCTAATGACACGAATTCCTAACAGCACAGTCCCATTCATTATCTAAATTATTTGTTTACAAAGTACACCAAATATTTTCTATACTGGGTTAAAGAGACATAGTTCCTGCCCCACAGGGCTTTATCACCTGGTCCAGGATACCACCCTTGGAAACGTCACTTCTTGTTTTCTTGCTCCATCTAATGGACCCGCAGAGAGTTCCCTTGTTTGTCAGTGAGAAAACAGGATATAGACCCTGGCTCTAAAGAAAAGGAATTTTAACAGTCTTATTATTATAATTCTGTGACTGCCAGTGTTAGTTACCAGGGCACCATACCTATATTGCTTCCTATTCAATAGGTCAATGCCCCTACACTTTTTCAAAAAAGAGAAAAATGAATGACAGAAACTGTGGAATCTGAAGTTCATGAAATGGCTGTAGAAGAAGGTTAATTGTGATAATTAAATATAATCGTATTGTAGAAAGCTAAAAATATGAGTTTGCAAACCAAAAGATAAAGAAATAAATATGTATTAGATTCAAGGTACTCAGTATCATTGTGGTGCACACACACTCACACACTCTCACACATTTTTGGAATATTCTTAAACTCATACCTGAATAGAACTAACCAGAAAATGTTCAATCATATTCCCCACTACATAGATAAAGAAATTGAAATCAAGGTTTCTTTTGTTCATTAGATTGCATTTTACTGAGTCTTCTATTTCATTATAAAGTTCTGTAGGAGAACACATGGGTTCAACCACTGCAAAACCAGTCCTTAATTTTTAAATTATAACTAAAATTCTGTCACTTTAGTGCAAGGAAGAAATTTACACCTGGTGTATAAACTAGTAGAGTGTAAGTTGTGATAGAAAGTGGACTAAAATCACAGGTGCTGAATTTTGAAGAAAGATTTTTATTTAGACATGCTGAATGCTGCATTAGCTTCTACAAATAATACCCCAGAAAATGGTAGTTTTTAAAAGGCGACTTTTGTAATGTATAACATTGTTCCCATTGGAGGTTCTTAATGATTTTAATAAAACTTTTAAAGTCTCATTTTCAATCAGATGCAGTGAAATTACCGAGACCCAGAAATTGGGTTTTCTGTGGCCCTTTTGCACAAACCCCTAATGCTGAAGGACCCAGAAATAACAATTCTATTAATAATCATTGTCCTGTCTAAATTAGCACCAATAAATCAAAATGCTTTGGAGTCTAAGTTCCTTCAGGTTGATTGCATTATCAGATATCTAATTTAATTAGTTTATTTTCATAACCAAATGCTGAGTTCATGAAGAATCCAGGATTGGCATTATGATTAAAGTCACTAGGATCACATAAAGAATTATTGAACAGGTTAAAAAATAAGTTTTTTGTAAAATACTGAAAGTAACAAGCCATCACACCATTTAAAATATTTCTTCTAGGCAGGGCGCCGTGGCTCACGCCTGTAACCCCAGCACTTTGGGAAGCCGAGGCAGGTGGATCACCAGAGGTCAGGAGATAGAGACCAGCCTGGCCAACATGGAGAAACCCCATCTCTACTAAAGATACAAAAATTAGCCAGTTGTGGTGGCAGGCGCCTGTAATCCCTGCTACTGTGGTAGGAGAATCACTGGAACCTGGAAGGTGGAGGTTGCAGTGAGCCGAGATGGCACCACTGTGCTCCAGCCTGGGCAACAAGAGCGAAAACTCCATCTCAAGAAAAAACGTATACATAAATTTCTTCTTATAGTCATTCAAAGAATGAACAATAAATTAACACTAATAGGAAGCCATTTCCATCCTGTTTCATAGCCATCGGCTTTGCATTCTCTTTTTGAGGGTTGGTGAAGAAGAATGATGATCACAAACGAGACACGATGTGAGAAAAGTGTGTGTCTAGAGGGGCACCTTGAGCTGTGGAAAGAACATAAACTTGGAGTTTGGCAGGCCTGCTTTAGCTCCTGCGTACTGAGATACTCAAATTTCCTTGGGTCTCTTATTCCTGATTTGTACGTTAAACACATAATAATAATAATAATAATAATAATATGTTGGGAACAAATATTTTGTTTCTTTAGTATCATAGGACCATGGAGGGAGAAGAACTGTGCCCTAGGAATGGTACTTCACACATCATACCCAGAAGGCTAAACTGTTGCTATAACAGGAGACTTGGGAAAGGTGAGTGCATTTTTCAAGAGGACATGGATCTTGTAGTCCAGAGGGTAGACTGTGGGAGACAGAATTCTAAAATGGCCCCCCAAATTCCCAACACCTGGTGTCTATGCCCTGTATAATCCCTTTCCCTTGAGTGTGTTTGGGAAGGACACATCATAGCTGTGGCTATGATGGCATCTCTCTGTAATTAGGTTACATTGTATGGCAAAAGTGAAGGGATTTTAGATTTCAAGTTAGTTGATTTGGAATTAATCCAAAGAGGGATTTTCCCAGGTGGGCTTGCCTCAATCAGGTGACATCCCTTAACAGAGAGACCGGGAGCTTCCTGAGTCTCTTCCTTTCTGGCCTTGAGGGAGCAGAAAGCTCTTCCTTTCTGGCCTTGAGGGAGCAGACAGCCTACTGCAAACTGCCCACAAGAAAGGGTGGCCTGTAGGGGCTGAGGGTCTCAGGCCTGCAACTGCAAGGAACCCAGTTCTACCAACAATGAGTGTGAAATGAGACTGCAGCCCAACAGACCCCTTAATTGTAGTCCTGTGATACCCTGAAGAGTGAGGTCAGCTAAAGCATGCCTGGACCCATGACCTGTGGAAACTGTATAATAACTCTGTGTTGTTCCAAAGTGCTAAATTTGCCATAAAGATTACAAGTTAGTAGAAAACTAATTTGTCTACCGGGAACATTCATGGGATTAGAGACCATGAATATGAAGTGTGTGGAACAAAGTAGACCTTAAGCAAGTGGTGTAAGTAACCTTGTTTCCCATTAGTGGAAAGTTGAGTCTTGTAATCCAGAGACTAGAGATGTTGGTGGGGTTTCAGGACACAAGTAGAGGCAAAAGTTTTTTGAAAGACTAGAAGGAAGAATTGAATGTGGAGAAAGAGGGAGAAATTGGTTCCAGGGCTAGTATTCCCACAAGACACAGCACCAAGTTCATAGTGTTGTGGGTGCCCTTTCTTCTTCATAGGCATTATCCAGCCAAGTACATTCTGGTTTAATGAATCACCAAGTGTTCTGACACCGACTGCAGCTTTCTCACAGATGGCATCTGCTGCTAATATACGCAGTGCGCTCAACTCTACACATTTGAAAGCCTGGGAAGGAGGGGCTATGTGTTACCAGAACACTTCAGCTGCCATTTATATATATATATATATAGAGAGAGAGAGAGCTTCTGTTTGGGGGAAAGTCAGCAGGGATGTGGAGACATAGCAGGGTGAAGAACAAAAAGGAATGTGATTGGGTCAAGACGACTGGGAAATGAGAGTGGACAATAGGGCAATTTTCCTAAGTTCCCACTGTTTTACCAGCATTTCCATTTATTGCCTAGAAAATACTGCTAATCTGATTGTGCAGTGTGTAGCTGTCCTTATCCTGTTTTCTGATAACAGTAGTGTATATGTTTTTCCTTTCATTTCTGATCTAGATGTGTTTATCTTGAGAGTCTAAAAGTTTCTCCTTATAAATGAAAGTTATTCATGGAAAGCCACTGTCATCATAAGAGATTTATAGTTTTACAATTATGCAGATATTTCTTTTACAATTGTAACTCTTACCTCTGTAGAAATAGTGCCAACAAACGCATCTATTCTCTAATAAAGGTGTCAATGTCTTCCCATTTCATATATTTAATATATAAGTTATGTATTTATGGATCCTGCAGTCAAGGAGTCCAAAAAGCAGGAAATCTGTCCATTGCCTGACAAAATTCACTTAAATAAGTAGTATGAAGATAAATTAGGAAAAAAAATAACAAATATGAACATGTTTTAAACTAGATAAAAATCTCAAAACACTATTAGACTTTGTTTTTAATAAAATTCATAAATCTGAATTTAAAATAAAAATATGCTTTTGTTAATTAAGTATTTCAATGAGTGGGATGGCTTACAAACTTTTATGCAAAGCATAGTTTTATGAAGTGGCAAGTCAAGGTAATTTTTATATGAAGCTATTAAACTGAAAGATGTGATACCAAATTTTTCCAATTCAAGTTACCAAACTCTTAAATGTTTAAAAATCACTCACGTATCTACTCATTTACACATCACTCATTCCACAACTTGTAATTGAAAATCTCTCTGTACCAGGAGGTGGGTGAGGCACTGTGGATGCAGAGATGAGAAAGAACAGATGCCATTCCCTAGAATCAGGGCCCATGCACATTAGTAGAGAGACAGACACCCAAAAAATCATTCAAACAAGTTTAAAAAGCAACTGTGAAAAGTGATCAAAAAGAGCTACACCATGCTATGAGGACTTCCAAAGGGTTATTTCATTTATTCAGTGATGTAAGAAGTGTTAGATGATTCTGGAGACAAAGATAAGTCTGAAATGGATGCTGGTGTCAAGGAGGTGACAGTGGACAATTGCATTTAGGGCGATAAGCAGGGGAGGAAACCAGCCTAAAAAATTAGACTTCCAACATTTAGCATTTCTTTGACTCAAATCATTTTTGCAAAGACATGTCTTCCTTTATTTTCATTTACAGTGAAGGACATGAACTAGAAATCTCTGGAATTATCTTTGCAGAAAGTTTCCTGTTGATAAATGGTGGTGTTCTCAGATTATGATTGAGATGAACGCTGTTGTAATCCCAAAAGCGCTGTGACAATTCGGTGAAATAGACAAAACGACGCTGTGCTCACAATTACTATCTCATATGGTTTCAGCATTGCCTCCGTGTGTGTGTGTGTGTGTGTGTGTGTGTGTGTGTGTGTCTTTCTGCTTGTCTTATTGCTGCTTATTACACCTTCCCTCCCTTGGGGTCTCCAGCATGCATAACACATGCACTGGTACCAGTTGTCAAAAAAGAGTTAAGGGCTGTTTCCAAAATACCGCAGACAATATCTTATGGATCGTCCCATACACTTTTATTCAAAGAAAATGAGCTCCACATTTTTTATGTTCAAAGTCCAGATTCATTCCTGGATAGAAGCCCCAAAATGATGAATCCTGAAATAGAAATACTTCTGAAAGTCAGTTCTGATTTATTGGTTTTGAACCCAACCCTTGCAAAAGGCCTTAAAACTGCAGCTGCTGCTCTTGTCCTCTCAACAGTTAGAGCTGCCTGCTCACTGGTATTCTTACAGTATTTCTCAAAGAAGTGGAGCACAAACATGCTAATCCTCAGGACACCCAAGCCTAAACCACAGAGAGCCCATCCTCCTTTCCACCTGACAGGAATGAGGATTGTTACATCGCTGCTACGGTCCTTGCTCCAAGCACTGTTGGTCTGCCTCATTAACGGTTCTGCTTCTGTGTAACCAGAGGAGGCAAATAGCTACTTGTTCTGATTCCAAGTATCAGAAATGGCTCCTCGTGATGTAAGATTCTTTTCTCGCTTTTTCATTAATGCCTGAAATTCAACAGGTAAAGTTAAGCCTTTCAACCCAAAATTAGCCATGAAGTTTTGGGCAAACAAATGCAAAATTAAAACTCATATCCCTGCCCGATTACAAACCACTTCTACAAGTGTGATTTCATGTATCCCTCCCAATCGCCCCATGTGGCAGGCAGAGAAAATACTTTTGTTCCTATTGTATCAATATGGGAGCTGAGGCTAAGGAGAGGTTTAATAGAAATAATGTGAGGCTTAGGGCCTTGTAACACAAGTTTCACAATTCTAAATCCCATGTTCTTTCCAATTATTAATTCACTATCTGAATATATACATGGAGTAGAATGTTTTAACACACACACAGGATAAAATTGATTTCAGATCCTCTGAAGTTAAGTTTTGACAAGATGGAAGGTAAAATTAAAATACCATTCACCACTGGGAGGAAAAAGTAGATAAAAGAGGTCCTATATTTCAGTAAATTAGAGGGGAAAAAAAAGTCAGGGGAAAAAAGGAAGTCAAATTAAAAACTAGGGTAAAAATAAGTCACCTTTGTAATTTTTCTGACATAGTAGAAAGAGCACACACCTCTAAGATTGACAAAGCTAGGTTTAAATTCCAGGCTGATATCCTACTACTTCTGAGATCTTAGGAGAGTTCCAGAAGCCTCCTTTGTAAAGTGCAGATAATAATATATGCATCTTAAGAGTATTAAATGAGAAAATAAATATAATATTTAACACGGTAACACCATTATGCTAACCAGCCCTAGAAGTGGCAGTAAAAGCAACAGTGGAAGTAATAGTAATGATAACAGTAGAACTAAATGATATTTTCAAATGGCTGTGAGATGTTCAACACTGTCTACTATTTTCTAATACTGTTTTATTCTAAATATGCCATTGGATATTTGCCATTTGGTGACTACTGGTTCAGACCCTACTTTCTTTCTCTTCACTCATTATTTATCCTCAAACTCCCTCTCTCTTCCTAAAGACTCATATATTCGATTAATGTTAATAAATATATTGATGTTTCCTTAGCTCTTCAGGAGTACATTTTTATGGAATGTAAAAAAATAATAACTCAACTTTTTGTTTTCATAGAAACAGTACCCAGCTCAAATGTCTGTGAAAAGTTGATGCTTTCTTAAAGAAGAAGTGGGACTCCCCTTGTCAGTTTGTGAGGCTATCCATAATGAAACCAAGAAAGGGTTGTGTTGTGAGGTGTCTTGCTTTTAATTGGAAAACGCTGAAATGAGGGCCAATGCAGGAAAGTGTAAAGAAGCCCATTGATTTCACTTGTAAGCACATTGGAGGAGAACAGACAATTGAAGGACTCCAGGTGCAAGGTCTGAAGAATTCAAGAGCAGTCCTGGGAGCGGAAAGTCAATGTCCTGCCACTTGATTTATTTAGTCACTGAAATGTACCCAGCAAGTTGTGGTGTCGGGTACTGTCTTAGGGGTTTAAAATCCAAAGACATGAAGACATCTCTTTGAGGCTTACTGGTTACAGCTCTGGAAACGTTAGGGAAGCAATCAGTTAAATCAGAAACTTAATTTCTTGCAAGAAAGGAGCCAAATAGCCCCATGGATTTGATAAATCAATCTACTGCAAAAAGGCGTAAAGTGTAAACTGAAGTTGATCACTAGAGAGATTACAAATCATTACTGGCCCTTGGGCATTCACAAGAAGCCAGGTACTTGAGGCCCTGGTATGAGGTATGAGGGGCCCGAGTTTGCATCTATTTTCATATCCTGAAGACTGTCTCTTAGAGATTGTATCCCTAGTGCTAATCAAAAGGAGATCACATTTCTAGATTCACAGTTATTTCCAGCATTGGTCAAAATGCCAATGAGTGCTAGTGACTATACCTTTCAGGACAGCTAGGGAACATACGTTGAGCAGAACAGAGAAAACAGAAAGTACGACAGAGGACAGGTAAAGAGTGGAGAGGTAAGAAAACATGCCTTGCCATGTCAAATGATCACAAGGAGCATTAATTATCTGCAAGAAGTCAAGAGTAATTTAGTCCTGGCACTACCAACATGGTCCTTCCTACTGCCACTCCTTCTAGAATAGGGGCTTTGCTCCCACTAATCCTGAAATAAGATAAAGCTGGGTTTGAATCCCAGCTTTTCCAACCACTAACTATGTGTTTTAAAGCTTTAATTTCATCACAAGTGAGTTGGAGAACACAGTAATCACTTCAAATTAGTTAAATTTTATAACCTACATAAAATTTGAAGCACTGGTAGGAAAGAATTGCCAGATAAATAGTGGTTGGAAAAAACAAAACAAAACTCTATTTGCTAAATGATTGCAGGTATGTGGTTCTAGCAGATTCAAGACTATGTTTTATAGCAAAGTTGACAAAATATATAGTGAGATGAAGACATATTTCCATTTAAGTCATTGCTGGGCACTTCTGCCTCTGGTCTGTACATTTACAATATTGCGACATCTTCCAGTGTAAATGAATGTTTCTTTAGAAGATGTGAGTACATAAAAAACATAAATAGCTTCTAAATTCATTAAGAATAAATCACTTTTCTCTTAAAACATATCGTTCAGATCTGAGATAAAATTGTTTGCCAAGTATCTTGCCATGTTTTGGCCAGCCGCACAAATGTTCTCTGCTATTCTCTGCTAAATAGGGTAGCATTTCCCCTCCCTTTCTTCTAGGACACGTGACCACATCATGCTCAAGCATGTAGAATTCCCTCTGAGCCTCATTGAATCACCGAAGGCCAATCAACCTTAACACCAATAGAGTACAGCACAAACCTCTGTAGAACAATACGTCCCAGCTGCAAAGACTATAAGCTCCATGGAACAGATATCAAGCCTCGAGGCCATAACACAAGGTGCATGAAGGGACTCCTGACCAGGAAGAGCAATGACCAGAACAGGAAGATTCCTGGGTAGTGCCATGTCTACTTGGATCCAATCCAAGGGATCATTATTGTTTCTCAGTGTACATTTTTTCAACACTTCCCTTGGATAATAGCCACTTGTTCATGTAATTGGGTCATTAACCAACAGTAGTCCTCTCACAAATAATAATGAATAGCAATGGCAATGAATGTACTGTTAACGGTAGTTGAAAACTTCAGATAGAAATTGAGTGTTGATCAGTAGTTGACTGGGCTTGTAGTTCACAAATCATCTCCAAATACTCCACTGAGGGATAATTTTATGTAGCCAAGGGACTAATATTAAAACCTGAATCAACTACTCGTAGCTACAGTTTACTCAATTTTTCTCAGTTTAGAGAAAGATTGGTCTCAATAAGGTGATGAGTTCTAGCCCCATTTCTACCACTTGCATTCTGTATGACTTGGAAATGTCACGCTTCCTTTTGTCTTAGAAACACAGTGTGTGTGTGCATGACTTTCAGGAGAAACAATCAGCATCAGGATCATATTTTGAACTTATCTGGAGAAGTTTGAAGCAAATTTATTTGAGATTTGGCAATGTAGAGTCTTCTCTCATGGACCCACCCACTCTCTTCCCTCCAGGGCAATCATGACTCACACCCAAATTATTTGTTCTTGGGAATATCTTTTTCTCTTGATCCCTTTTAACTTCCTTTGATCTACTTTAATCAACTTAATATCCTTAACTGTTTTTTATCTGGAGACATTCATTGCATCTATTTCTCCTGATACAGACTTTTCCCTGTCTGCTGCTTTCATTTCCTCACATATTCTGGACCAAAATAAGAGGATGTTGCATGTGAGCTAAGAGGGGGAGCTATGTTTCTCTGAGAAATGAATACTCTTATCCATGACGTTCTAATGGGGTATTTTTGGACTTTGATATTTTCTTGACTAATCACTCACAAATAGATTTTCTCATGATTTTCTTTTTCTTTTAAGGGAAAACTGGAATAGTCTTTTATATATTAAGCTAACACTGGCCTAATCTATAATATATCTATATTGAAATGGAACTTTTTTTTAACTGATAAAGTTAACTAGTTAACATACTTTCGGTATGGTTGTGCCCAAAAAATAACGTGATCTTAATCGTCTAAGTACAGCAGATGGTGAGCTTTACTCGCGAATGAATTTGTTCTGATTAAAAAGAAACCAACCCTATGTGCACGCATCTATCCATTGTTTAGCAGCACATTTTCTGCTCACATCTGGAAATATTGAGATAGTAGCTGCTCTAGAACATTCCAGCGGCAGGGACACAGCACAGGAGGAAGACACGGGACGGAGATACAGACTCAATCATGCTCTTCTAAAATGAAATTGATTCAGCCACTTGATGTTAAGAAATTGCTTTTGTGAGTTACAAAATTTCCTTCACTGGCCGCAGAATGACTGACTATGAAAGCTGTAGGTTTTTCAGGGCACACGGACTGAAGAAAGCCTTCCACTGCCTTGAGTGTGCAGAGATTTCCTGTTTTGTTCCTTGCACCAATCTTCTGACGAGCACTGTGAGCAACTGAGATCTGCAGATATCCTTGCAGGGAGTTCTCTTTCGGGCTTACATGGAGTTACTTAGACATCTGGAAGGAGTAGGTGTCAAACCACAAATAAAACTTTCCTTGACTCATGGGGAGAAAGGTAGCGATTTCCCCTTGACCTCATTAACTGAAACTACCAGTGCCGCTGTTCCGGCGTCAAACTTCATTCTTCAGAATGCGCTTCTCCATTTAAGGGCTTTACCTTTTGTATTTGTTCAGTGTTTAACTCTGCAAATTTAACCGAAGCCTTTCAGTGGCATGTTTTCATCTTAAACTAATAATAAGTAAGGGTCATAGCTACATAATTTACTCTCCATGGGACCTCACACAGGGACACTAACAGATAAATGCTTGATGATGCTGTTGAGGCTGATTGATACTATTAGTTTTATTTTCTTTCTCATGGCAAACACAAATGACTCCTCCATCCAGCACTCTCTGTTCTTTTTAATCTTTATACTTTGACCATAGAAGCATGCATTTGTCGTGTCAGGTAGGTAGTTGGAGTAAAAGTAATTTGCCATTGGCTCTCAATTTAAAATGAATTCATGAAAAAGGAGAGCTGCAAACTACTCAATCTGACTGCAAAGTGGTATTTTGTTTGTACACTTAACTCCCCAGATATAAGTGGAAGCATCGTCCCTCCTGCATTTATTTCCCCCATGACACTAATTCTTTATAGCAAAACAAAGAGTTTGTGAGTTCATAGAGCAGGGCTTTCCTATCTGTAGACATCCAGTAACGTCCCTTTCCATACTTCATCCCAAATTAAACAGAGTCTCCTTCCTGGTTTGCTCATGTGCATATTGAATTAGGAAACAATCCTTCACTACCAGCCTCCCCATCTTAATGCAATCCAGTCAGAGCTGAGATAATTAACAACACTCATTGCTCTAACTTAGTTTTTGCATTTTTTTCCTCCATGCAAATCTTCTTTCATCTAGTTGTTCCTTATTGGTTCATTCCATTAAGCATGTGCAAAGTGGCTCCGGTAGTCATAACACTGACCCAAGTCCCCGGGAATAAAAAAAGAAAGAAAAACAAACAAAACTAGAATCTCTGGGGAAGCACACAGGAGTGCAGGGGAGAAACAGAACACATTTATTTTAAATACATAGATGCAGAATTAAGCTAGTACAACACACCATTATATAAATAATATGCATGAGTGCTATAGGAATGCAAAGTGAGAAAATGTTTGCTATGAGCCATGTGTGAGCAAAGAGAGGTCACTTGGAGGAGATGGCTCTTATGCTGAATTTCAGTGAAGAATTAGTGAAGGAAAAAAAAAAACAGAAAAATGTCGAAGTTTGGGAGAATCCAATGAGTAAAAGAACATGGTTTGAAACAAGTATAATATGAACGATAGTAGGAAAGTTGGTCATGCAGACATTCGGATAATTATTTCCTTCCTCTTTATGCAGTAAGTTGCATTTTTACAGAGCCTGAAGGCTCAACTTAAAAAAATATATATTCAGAGTCAAATGTATTTGCATATGTCTTATTTCTTAAGAATAGTGTTTTATCTAAAGATTGATAAGATGGTTTTTCTGACATCTTAAAGATTTTTTTAATAGAAAACTTTACTGTAAGTTTGGTTTATAATGTGAAATACAACTCCATCTTCTTTGGAGTCTGAATATAGTCTCCCTCTCTTCATTCACAAGTGAATGAGAAATGTGCTAACTTCTGCTCTTACAAATCCCATTTAGTGGGTGTTTCTAGTTAAACCACTTAACAACCTCATTTATTTTGTGGTGACCATCAAGTACAGCAACAATGCACACTAGTTCTTAAATTAAGTAACCCTTATTTGCAAAGTACAGAAGGTATCAAGCATGTAACCTCATGACATCACTCTTGTATGAATAGACTTGCTGCACTGCGTAAGTACACGTATAGGACAAGTTAAATAACTAAATGCACTGTCGAAGCATCGTGTTATTGGCTATCAAATCAGTAATACAGAAAGTCAGAAACCAAACTCGGAAGAAGCGAGACCTGCCTCCAAGGCAGAAAATGGAGACAGAGAAGAACATTTGGTCAAGAAGAGGACTGAGAAATGCCTGTTTTTAGAGAAACAGAAGACATGGGTCCACAATGCACAGGATTAGGGTCAGAAAAACATGAGAAAGACTACCTGACTTTCTACATTTTCATTGACTACATGGAAATTATGATATCACCTTTCCTTGCTTTGCAAAGGTTTTATAAAATTGTGGTAATGAGCTCATTCTGAAAATGACCTCTCCTGAATTCTCCACAGCACTGTGCAAATTTTAAGTGCGTGTAGAAGATAGAAAAAAAAAAAAGTTATTCAAACCAGGGAGAAGATTCATTAAGGCTTTGAGTATAGTTTTTCTTCTCCCTAACAGTGGAGTGTGGCATATTCATAGGAAGAAACTGAGTATAAATTTCCTGGAGTCCTAAAAGCCAGAATCTAAACAAAGAACTACGAATGGAAGTGCCTTATTTTACGATTCTCTATTCCTCCGCCTTCTGACTCTTGCCTTTTCAACATTCCCAGCCCTCTGACAACTGAGAGAGAAGGGCTTCCATGCTCAGAGACCAGGAGGGCCTTCAGGCTTCAGTGAATGTCCCACTTTGTCCTTTTCTGACCTATTTGAAAGTCAAGGGTTGTATATTCAATTAGGACATAACTGTTGAGCCACTAAAATCCCACTGTACATTCTCCACCTTCCTCTGCTTTGTATCTTTTCATAATCAGCAGGGAAGAAAAGTATGCTTCACTGCTACCATGGGGTGCTCTCAACAATATTTTTTCTGAACAAAATAAAAATATATTAATAGATAAGCAAGAAAATGGGGCCACCATAATGTTAAGTAAAGACAGTATGATCCCCAGTAAGAGATTTGAGGATAGCTCCTTGTCCCTTTCACTGTTCCATCCTGATATCTCTGCCATTTGTACCTGCTCTGTATGGATATTGGCCTGGGTGTTTAATCTGTCTCTTCATCTTTGAAGTTTCATCCACAAGAAGTTACTTTATCAGTGAACTTAAATTTCAACCTCTAAACATGTTACAGAATCAAATTAAACTACAGATAATTTTGTTCTGAAAACTGAGTGTCATCTGTAATTGCAATACTGATAGGGGGAAAACACCCTAATTTTAAGCCCTTTGTTATGAATCCATATCTTCTCTGTGAAATCAGAGTGTCAGTCTTGCATCTCGTGGAACCAAATAAAAAAAATGTATCATGCAGTTAGACAGGATATGACACTGACTCAATAAGGCATTGGGGTGTGTAAAAAAATCACTGGTAAAGGGAAAAAGTATGAAAGTAATATTGGCTGACATTTTCTTGTTATTAGTGTTCTTTTTAATATCTAGCATTTTATGCCACTTTATTTTGCTTCAGAGTCTTATGATCAATAACATATAAACAAATCCCGGATTAGGAACTCACATTCTGTATTTTAAATGTCTGATTTCTAATTTGCTGATCTACTTTCTCTGTTCTCTTCATTTGATTATTTGCCTAATTATATAGTTTAACCTATAAGGCTTTTCTAAATAAGACATGTTAAATACAGTTGTATTGCTGTAATGAAAACTTAGTTGCAAAAGGATAGAGTTAGCTAAGTCTGTGCCATAGTTTTGCGCAGAGTGCAGGGTCCTATGTGTCACTTCATTTCACATTTGTGGTTGTTTAACAAATAATAAAATTTGTTTTGCCAGTACATTACATTTTAGGATTGCAAAAATTATCTGTTGGAATTTTTACGTGAAAGCGATTTTTAATTTTTTGCTATATTGTGTTCATCTTAGTTTCTTTATTCCTAAATACCTAACTTGGAATCTTCATATTTTCTGTCCTCAATAGTTTAACTTTTTAACACCTAAGTATATAGATAAATACAAAACTTTCAAAAGATTTTATCAAAATGACTTTATTTTGTTATAATAGTTGTTACATGAAACTATCCATAATTTTTCAAGATAAAACAGTGACTTTCCTAAATATACATGTAAAGTAGTCTTTACTCTTTCAGAAATGACCCCTTTTACAGGAATTTCTCCTTGAAATGTATATAGTAAGTTTAGCAATGTCTAAATACTTTTAGTCCCAAAACAAGATATAGCCTTACAAAATATCTTATGATTTTTGTTATGCATAATTTTACAAATATATTTAAAATGCTCTACAAAGCAGTGCTCTACTATTTATACTATAATCAATAAATGCTGTGTGAAACTTTTACAATCTGGTTTTCAAATCTTTTGTTTTTGCACAACTAACAAGCAAACTGACATTTTGCAAGGCTTTCCAAGCTGCACTGGTGATTACTATATCACTTAATTTTTATGAAATTTTGTTGTGAGAAGATGCACAACCCAAGTCATGCAAACATAAACATGAAACACGGGTGAGCTCTTGGGTAGTGGGTAAATGTGAGACAGGAGGACTATTCATGGAACACACACAGACACAGAGGTTATTATTGTTCAGCTAAGAATTGACAGGACATCTTATGAATAGAGCCCAAGTTGTAAGCATCAACCAGCAAACCAGCACTAATGCATTTTTTTTGTTGTTGTTGGAAAAATAGTGAGAGCCATGTGAGCAACAATCTTAGAAAAACTGTAATAACAAAGAGAATTAAGCCCTCCTGAGGTCATAGTTCACACATGTTAAAATGCTTTTTTTTTTTAGCTTATCCACAATTAGATGGAATTAACACATTTTCATGGTGTTTAATGAAAAATGGCTAAAGCATACCTCCTTTATTTTTAAGTGGATTAAAAACATTTCTCCAAAGTCTTGTCTTCCAAAATATGGAGAAAAAATAAGAAAGGAAATATCTCCTCAGGGAAAGCTAACTACTGTTTTAGTTAATAGTTTGCTTTAACTTAGAAAAACTTAATTCGGAAAAATATGGTGTGAATTTTGCATTTGGATGAAATTGAATTCTTTTGAGGGTTTTAGGTAATAGAACTATAAGGTATCTACTAGTTTCTCTCCTTTTCATAAATGTATATTATAAAAGTACACTTGAAGGAAACTAATCAAATCTGACAGAAAAAACATTTTAAATGGTAATGTGATTTTTTTCCTTCAATGCAAATGAAAAATGGCTTTAAGTGAAGAAATTCAACTGAATGGGCATATGGCAAAAAAAAAAAAAAAAGAAAAAACAAAAAACAAACAAAAAAAACTAGACAAACAAAACTTTGAATGTAATACAGTCTTTTCCAGTTTCACTGACCTCTTTATTCAACATTTTAACTAACATGTACCATATAAGTAAAACTAAATTTAGCAAATAGACATTGTCTAAAAATAATAAAATTGTAAAGAGTATTTTTTAATGAGTTTGCCAAAAATGAACTAGAACATAAATTCAATCCTAAATTGTGTGTAGAGTATTATTTCATAAACTATATGCAAGTAATATTTTAGAATTCTAACATATAATGAATGATCAAAATACATTCATATCAATAATGAACTATGGGATTTTAAACTTACTGCATACATACTATGATTTTAGCAATGAGTATTTTAGCAATGAGTGCTATGGAAAATAAGAGTGGCTTTGAAAGTTAAACTGTTAGATCAAACCAATTTCCCAAATCTGAAACGAAATCCAAATAATAGAGATAAGAGGGAAACCAGCCCTAGATTTGGTTTTATGTATTGATTAATTCACCCAAGGGAAGCAAAACAGGCTATGACACAGACATCCAGATTCATTTCCATGGGAAAGAGACGAGAGAAATGCGGTTCTCCTTAATTTAATGACTGAACACCCTCCTCCCAATATTTCCATAGGTAAAATGCTTTGTACAATTATGATCAGCAAAAGCACCCCGTTTTAAGAAACCTGCAAATAATGCATATTGGATGCCTAGAATCTTCTATACAGCAAGTGATGGCTCAAAGAAAATTTGAATCCGAATCTAAAGCATGTTACAGGGACAGTCAGAATTCAGGGGCTATAGTGATGTATAAATGTAAACAAGCTATGACCCAAAAGAGAATGCAGGCTTGATGCATGTCTGTTTGTTGTCTTATTTTAATTTTTATTTTTAAATGAGTATTTATCCAAATTATTCCAAAGTTAAATTCAGACTTTGTAATACTAAGCTACTGGAGAATATCTTTCCTATAACAAAGTTATACATTGCCTTACTTCTGGATCATTGATTTGGGGCTAGAGAAGAGAGACTATGATAATCGGAGGCATGCATAGATTATCCGACTAGATGAATGTTGAAAAGCCATTTCAGAAAAGGTCCCTGCAGGAAAAGTCATTGCAGGAAGAGGTATCCATTTCCACTTTCAAACAAACTCTGGAATGGAAAGAAAGGTCCGTGTAGACAACTTTGGTTTCTAATTCTCCCACTTTTCTGCATTTGTATTAAACAGGGCAAAGAGACATGAGTTCTATTTCCAGCTCTACTACAAATTAGCTGTAGTGTCTTAGGCAAGTAACTTAATTTCTCAGAGCCTCGGGGCCTTCAAATTAAAAATGAAGAAATATTCTCTAAAGTGTCTAAAATTCTAGAGAAATATTCTCTAAAGTGTCTAAAATTCTAATTAATGTTTTTGAATTTACTTATTCCATGCAAAAGTAATTTCAATGACTTTTTTATAATAATAGCATCTATTGCCATTTCAATATAATATTACTTTATTTCATATTTATTTAATCATTTTAAGGTAAAAGTACCCATCGTAAACACAGATTCTTGTTAATAAGTTCTACACGCTGATTTCCTCCATTTTCCTCTTATCTACCAGTTCATACATGATTGTTTTCACAGTCACCAGCAACATTAATTTTTGTTGTTGTGGAAATAAATTTTTGTCAACTAGCAAAGTTAGAAAATTTTAAAGGCTTAATACTTGAATACTTCATTTAACCTCTTCATGCCTGTGTACTAAATCATTTGGCCTAAGTGTTTCATACAACTAAGCTTTGATTAGAGCAGTTGAGTTGTTTCTCAAATAGAGGAATCAGAAGCTTGGGGATTTTAACATCAAAGAGCATGAACGAATGCTGGTCCTTTCACATATCCGGGAGTGATAATTGGCAGTTTTCCTTTTATTCATATGAACAAAACCAATTTGAGAATGATAGAGTTGAAAGACCACTGGGCTAGGAGGATAGAGGAGTTTCAGTCCTGACTTTGCTATCAATACCTCCTTAAAAGTTTATACTCGATTATCTTTAATGCCTACCGTAAATCTAAAGTGTTATGAGTATCATATATACATTGATAAAAATGTGCTATAACACAAAGTCCTAATTCTGTTTTTGAAAAGGAATAGTACTTTCTAAAAACTGACTTGAGAAGGGTCTCTTAGCTGAAGACCAACTATTTTTTTCTTATAGTTTAGTCTCTTTCTTGTTCTAAATTAGTTTTTTGTTCTTTTCAGTTGACAGTATCCTGAGATTTGAATGCCATTTTTAACTGAAAATATTGAGCTTCTGTATTTGAGCACTAAATACTTTCAAGATAAAAACAAAAGAAATTATAAAGCACAGTAGTTTGAGATAAAAAGAAGTAGAAACACACCTTTAGAAGGACAATAATTTTAAAAATCAAATTCACTTTTAGAATAAGATGAATATTATGTATCATGAGGGCCATAGTTGATATTTAGCTATTGTGATACTGAGCTATGAATTTTAGAAACAATTTGGCAAACATGATCTAGCAAAAGGAACACATTTCTCATTGGCTTATTGAAAATGGTCAAAAGAAAGTGAAATATCAAACTAATACAACTGCAATCTCTATGAAGGAGAGAAATACTAAGAAACTAATGTGCTATTCGCATAGTAGTTAATCAAAGTTATACCCTTGTTTTAAAAATATCTCTCAATGTGAAAGTTAAACTGTATGTCTGATTTTTAAGTCAATAAAAGAAAATTGCGGTAGGACTAACGTGAAAACTCATTTTCCATCCTTACCAAAAAGTTTGTGTTTTAGTTTTATTTGTAGCAGTTATCAGGGTCCATTTTCATCAGAAACTTTCTCTTTCAGCTTGTGTGCTCCCTCTCTCATGTTTCTTTCTACGACTCAGAAGAAAAAAAAAAAAAAAAAAAAAGGACCAGGCCAGGCCAGGCCAGGCCAAAAATAATGGGGTAGTTTCCTTTTAAGCTTTGGCAAAAATGCATAAAATGCAACCAGGAAGCCATAAAATGTGGTGCACCTTGTATTTGCTTTGATAGACTATAAATATAAAAACAAGAATGTTGAAAGAAAAAAAAAAAAGGAGGGACATGGGCAAAGTGCGTGCTGGAAACCAAGCAGACTGGTGCCACAGTAATGGGACCCCTGGAGAATGACCTGTACGGGCACTCTTTGTGGCAAGCTTGTGAATCATACTTGTAACTTGTCTCACTTCACTGAAACCCTCAAGGAGTGTTTGCCAAGGAAGAGAGAGGGAAAAAGACTCGATAGGGCTGGGTGGCAGTCACGCACATCTTACCTCTCACCTGGCAGTGACCTTAGTATGTTTTCATGTTTATCTAAAAAAGATAAAAGGTATGATTGCTCAGGAATGAAAACATGGGTAACATTCAAACAGAGGAAAGCAGAAACAGCAGTTTAAGACTATGAGGGAAATGTAAACCAGCCCTGGGAAACATTTGACATTGCCTCTCTCTCGGTAGAGGTCATGGTTGTATTCTATTGAAACAAATAGGAACGACCCAGCAGACGGTTTTGATCATGGGGACCAGAGCTTTCCTAGGTGTGTGTCTCACTGTCAGAATTTATAAGATCCTAAAACTAACAACACGGTTCTACCCGGGACAAATGGCTTCAAATTTTCTGAACTGAAAAGAGTTATTAGATTCAGGGATTTAGGCAGCAAACTAGTGAAAACACAAAGATTTGATTAGGTTAAATGCATGTAATGTGGTGTTATGCTGCAAAAGGGATTATGTAAGGCTCCAGAAAATTGTAATGAGGGGAACACACGGAGCCTTTTTAGGACAAAGTTTAAAAGGTAGGAAGCTAAGGAAATACAGCCTTTGCCTAAGGGACACTAAAGACCAAACTGACTCTGAACCCAGATATTGTGTTTGTCACTTGAGGGCTGAAGTTATATACACTTAGTACCCAATCAAAGTTCATTCTGACCTTAACAATTTCCTTAAGAAATACGGTATTTAAAATTATCAAGTTGAAGTTGCTAAGAAAGAGCCTATGGGAATACCTCCATATCATGGGGATACTCTCTGTGGTTTATGCAAAGTGTCTTCCATCACAGGTTTTCCACTGATGAACAAAATAAAGAAGTAGTTACATAAAAAGATCAATTTTTCATTTGACACAAAGTAAATCATTACTTTCTTCTGGGATGCAGTACCTTTTCCCACTGTCGGTTCCATTTCCCATCATGCCCTTGACCTTGGAGGTCACCTGTCATTGGAAGATGAAGCTCTGAATAAACAGAGAGGACCCTGTGGTGTCTCTTATCTCTGCATTTTGCCTCAAATCTCCGGGCGGAGCTTTAAATTATTCATCCACTAGTGCTCTCTCCGAGTTACACATCTCCATCATCCACTCCCCCTTCCACCTCCCCGTTTGTGAGTGAAGGCGGTATCCTTGGGAACCTTATCAGAGATCACAGATTCAGGCTCCAGAAATGAAATAAAAGAGGAAATTGGCTGTATTAGCATAAGAGGAGTCAGCCTGGAGTTGAATACACACATCACCCGGGAGCACACTGGCTTCCCTTATCAGTCGCGTTTGATCACTACTTTCTTTTTTTTTATATACATTCTTTAATTCCATCCAGCCCACTCCTTTGTTCCAACTCATATGAGGGAACATATGAAATAAGGGCAGATGGTATAAAGTCCTGAATAGTTTTCAACACTTCCAACCTTTCCTAGGCCCTAAGAAAAACAGCATAAATAAAATGCTTATTTTAAGATAGCTTTTATGGCATAACCCCTCTCTCCTACCCCCAGGAAAAGAGTTGTTATTGCTATTTCAAGGGGGAAAAACTGGAAATAGTTAAAGTTTGATTGGATGGATGTTGCAGCAAAAGCTACAGTATCATTCAGGAACATAATCTAAGATATAGGTTAAATGCAGTAGGGTATTTTCATTTTTAGGTTGGAAGCACAGGTAGCAAACTGTGATTTTTTTTTCTAAAAGCACATTTTTAAAATATTTTATCTTTTAAAATTATTCTTGCACATGAGGCTTTTAAATATATTCTGATTGAGAATGTTGCCACAGTCAGATCATTTTATCTATAAAAGTAGTATCTGGAAACTGGAATTTTTAGAGATGCATTTCATTAAAGTGCTCTGTACACAGGAAAATACATTATAACAATTAAAAACACAATGTTCTTGTGTAAGCTAATTTTTCTAAATTTTCTTTTTAACTCAAGAAGCAACAATTGTTGTTCAACATGCTTCTCTTTTATGCTTAATATTTCCTCCCAAAATTCCTCTACTTTTCTCCAAAAGAATAATTATGGGTAACCAAAATATAGAGCATTGGTAGCTTAGTCATGTTTAGTGCAACTTTTAAATTTTCAGTCTTACTAGTATTTTACATTGTTTATTTCTAAAAAAAAAAAAGAGATGACAGATGGAATGTTCTAGAGCTGATATTGCATGATTATTATTTATGACTTTTCCAGATTTTGCTGTTTTATCTTCTTTAAGCAGAACAATAATTGGCATTGCTGTGATTAAGTCTGGGCTAGGTGCTGACATTGCTTTATCACTCAACAGTTTCCAATTCATTTGGAAATATTTATTTCAATTAAAGCCCACAACAACTCTTTAGAGTAAACATAATTACTCCTCTCCATACCCACCTTCCACTAAAAAGAAAAAAAAAAAAAACTCTAAGTTTTAGATTGTTTAGGTAACTTAGAGAAAGTTATGCAGTAAATGATAAAGACAGGACCCCAGCTCCATTCTTCCACTAAGGTCTGTGGCAGAAATTCATTCTATTCCTTCACAGTAAGGAATCAGAAGAGGGGTCACCTTTGTTCCCAAATTCTGTGCAGAAACAAGTGAGCAACCTGATGATAAACCATGAAGCTCATGGCAGAACTGGGCAGAATTCAGGATGATGACCCAATTTCTGGTCATGTAATGCCCTTCTTTCTCAGAAAGATTCGTAAGAGATATAGAAAAAACGGCAGAAGATTTAAGTTCTGAAACAGAAGAAAACATGCTGGCTGCAATGAACGGATGATAATTTTATCTGTATACAGTATTTTGATTATTGAAGTAAAGAAAGAGACAAGTTGTTGTTGCAGTATAAAAAGTTCACTAATCTACACTCTCAAAGTACAGTAGAAATGTATTTTCAAAGTCAATGGTGAGAGAGTAAGATAGATAATTAAGATTCTACAGATTATTTTCTCATAATCTACAAATATTTACTCAATGCTTCTTATGTACAGGCTCACTAAGAGATCCAGCATAAACAAATGCATTCAATGGGAACAATTTTCAAGGAAGTAATTTTACCTATATATGAATATGGTTAAAAATTAAATAGTTCAAAAGGTCTTAAATGAAAAGGTAAAAACCACTGTCCTACCAGACAGAGGAAAACATCCTCTGGATGTTTTCACACATTTTATTTTTGTTTTTATACTTTGAAGTTCTATTTTTCACAACCACCATATCCTCTGAAATAGAAATAAGTTGGCTTATTTGCAATGTTTGAACTATAATACCTAACCCTTACTAAACAATTACTCTGTGCCAGGCCTTGCCCCATTTTTGTATGTATCGGTGCATTTAATTCTAAGGGTCATCATATAAGATGGGTACTATTATTCTGCCTGTTTTACAGATGAGAAACTGAGTTTCTCAATGCAATATATATCTATATCTATATATGTATATATAGATATATATATATGTGTGTGTGTGTGTGTTAATGACATGTATGCAGGAAAACCTTAGTGTTTCAGAATGAGAAATGATAAGAAAAATTAATTTGTTGGGTATACATCTCTAAATGTTTAAAGTTCTATGTAAACTATTAATCATGATTTTAGGTAAAGGTGGACATTTTCTATTGAAGTAAAAGGATCACAAATATTTATTTACATTACCATTTTGATGCTCATTATTAGAATTAACTTTTTGGCTTATGTAATATGGGAGTATAGACCTTTATTTCTCTACACATTTATTTCTCATCTTACTATGTAATACATTACAATGTATCACTCCACACCATTGACCTTCTCAGTGGTCTACCAGTTGGTTCTCAGTACAATGTCTTGATATGGAGCTATTTAGTCCATAGGACATGGTAGTCAGTGGCCCTTTGCAATTCAATTTTTCAAGTGTCATTTATACTGAATAGTATATATTATTTCCTTGATAGATGTTTTCCATCCATTTTCTCTGTTTTCTTCTTCGAATTCCTAGTAACCTAATGCTGGATTTCCTGGTGATAGACAAAAAGAACATTTATGTCTCTTACGTTTCACCTTGTAGTTTCAAACTGTGCTCCATATCCTAACTTGCTTGCGTTTATCTTCCAAGTCTGTAGTGAAGCTTTTATTTGGCAGTTTACTTTTAATTTCTATGAACTCCCTTTTCACAGCTTTTGTTCTCTCTGTTCTCTTTCTGTTGGTCTTTTGTGTGTGTGTGTGTGTGTGTGTGTGTGTGTGTGTGTTTAATCATATTACTAGAAATGCTACTGAAGTTTTTTTTTCCAGTTATCTTCTATACTTATTTTATTCCTTTATTTCTTCATGATCAATCTAATGGAATTCACAGAATAAGTCAAGATGTACAAGTGTGTCTTATCTGCCATCTTGAAGAATAAATCTCTTAAGAACTCACATATTGAAATGTTACTCATGAGCCAAGAAAATTGATTAGTTAATCCTAGCTAATAGGCTATCAACAGGTGAGGTTTACTTCAGTTAATGTTTTGTTTTGTTTTTTTTTGGTTGTTGTTGTTTTTGTTTTGTTTTGTTTTTCTGAGATGGAGTCCTGCTCTGTCGCCCAGGCTGGAGTGCAGTGGCGCGATCTCGGCTCACTGCAAGCTCCGCCTCCTGGGTTCACGCCATTCTCCTGCCTCGGCCTCCCGAGTAGCTGGGACTACAGGTGCCCACCACCACACCCAGCTAATTTTTTATATTTTTAGTAGAGACAGGGTTTCATCGTGTTAGCCAGGATGGTCTCGATCTCCTGACCTCGTGATCTGCCGCCTCAGTCTCCCAAAGTGCTGGAATTACAGGCGTGAGCCACTGCATCTGGCCTCAGTCAATGTTTTTAATGCCTTTTTTGAGTTATTGTTTAAATTTCTTAAATATATTTTCATTGTCACCATTATTATACATTGCATTGTCAAATGCAAATGAAAAGAATAATGTCTGAAAACTGTAACATTAAAGATCAAAATGATGTAAGTGTTATTGTCTATAGTAATCACATTAAAGCAAGCAAGGAATTGAACATAAATACCTTATAGAATACCACCTTCCCATTGCTGAGGCAATCAAATCTGTGGGTATGATACTTGTGCACAAATTGGTTAAAATGTACAAATAAGCGGTAGAATTATGAAACTTTTATTTTATTGAAACACTATTCCATAAGCCTATTTATTCTATTTCATTCCCTGATATTTTGCTAAATAATTACATGTCTATTATTTTTGTAAAAAAATCATTATAAATCATTTTTTAAACAAACAACTGTGGTTTCTCTAGCAAACCAATCGAAGCTTTACCTATTGGACCATAACCAATAATCTAGCTTCATAGAGGGAGCACCCAAGACTGGGGGCAGTCGGGCTGCTATGGTGTCATAAAGGTATGACACGGAAATCCTCTCCTCATGAAGCATTCCATTTGATTGAAGCGACAACACTTCTCAACAGGAAACAGCTGAAAATAAATAAATAAATAACTATAAACTAGGCAGTTGTGTGCTAAATCGTGTGGGACATAATGTGAGCGCTGTTGGCATTTAGAAAACGAAAACCAATGAGTGTTGGCAAAGTCAGAGAAAGACAAGCCTGAAGAGCAGATCTCTAGGATCCCTGAATAGAGCAGAGCAGCTGGTCATTCTAGGTGATACGTTGCCCTAATTCTCCTGCGGAATTTCAAACTGTCCACTTCCCTCAGGCCATCGGGCTCAGTGGTGTGAGAGCAGCTCTGCTCTCTTTTCATACCTCTTTCCACATGACTTAGCAGCTACACAATCCTAGCCAAATCTTGCAATGGTGTGCATGCATGTGTCTCTGGGCGTGTTTATGGAAGCACACACACACTGACACATAAGTGTTTTCTCTCCCTTGCTTCGCCTGCATGAATCAAAGGTGGCATCATAAAGACCCTGAAATTTGCATGATTTGTGAGAGGCTCCCATGCGTTGGCAAGGCCAGTGGCAGCTTAAACAAAAAGAGCAGCTGTCCTAATTCCCAGCTCTCTGGCTCTGGTCTCCCAGCAGCCCTTCTTCCTGTTTCCCCAGTGCCAACCAGGTCAATTGCACTGTTTCCCTTTAAAGCAACAGCATCCAAACACTTCTAGTGTAAATACTTCCATTTCACACATCACCCTCCATGATATAATCCTCCTAATAGGCATTCCTTCTAAAGTTTGAATTTAGAATCTTTACAATAAATCTGTACCAATTACAAAGTTATTAAAGATATACTATGTAGAGAATAAAATCCTCCCAAGACACCAAATAGTATGCCTCCCCAGTCTCTTTTCTTGGAGGGTTCCTAGGATGTAATGCACCAAATGTGTTGAAAATCAGCTCTCATATTGGAACGAAAGAATAGAAAGACTCATAGTTTCAATCATGATGGGATAACAGATTGAATTTATCCTTCAGCCTAAAACAATAAACAATGGGAAATCAGAAACAGATAAAATATATTAAAAACTTTTTTTAGACATTGGATATTTGGCAGCACAAAGCAGTGATTTTTGAGAGGGGGAAACAAATAAGTCAAGCGCTAAGATGATCCACCATTTATTGTCTGGTGAGATTTTCCAGACCAGAGTCAGAGAGGAGGAGTCTAAGTGAGCCTAAAGTTCTCCCTGAGTTGAGGAGATGGAATTAGGAATGTACAGAGGCCAAGGCAACCAGAGTGTGCAGGGCTGAGTGGTGAAGAGAAGAGGGGCCACACAGCAAGAGCACTCCAGACATCTGGAGGATCTCTTGTAAGCCTTCGCCTGAGTACTGAGAAGGGCATGCAAGGGCTTTAACTTAATCACATTAAAGTGATTTATAGCCATGGGTAGCAGGGAGGGGTCTACCCAAGACTAGGAAGAAAAAAAAAAAAAAAAAGAAAAAGAAAAGAAAACACACCAAAAACAACACATATAATTTTTTTCCCATCATCTAGAATGACAAATTTTGTAATTCAAAGGACATTAGTTAGAGTACTTAGTAGCATCTTGCCTCAGTAGAGAGGAAAATTTACCTCTAGAATAAAGCTTCTCTGATAACCTAAAAAAGGTTAAAGGCAAGTCTCAAAAGTTTCAAACTGTTTCCAACTGACTTATCCATTTCCAGAATAAAGCTCAATAATTTAAAAAATACAAATATATCTAGCATTGAATAAAGTAAAATTCACAACTTCTGGCATTCAATAAAAAATACTAGGTATTAAAAAAACAAAAATTATTGCTTAAAATGATAAGAAAAATCAGTCAATTAAAAGAGAACTAGACATGACGCAGATGATAGTAAACAAGGACATGAAAACAGTTACTGTAACTGTACTCCATATGTTTAAGAAGGCAGAGGAAAGACTGAGCATGTTTCAGTAGAGATGCAGAAGATAAAGTCCAAATCAAACCTGTAGAGATTAAATTCACAAATTATGAAACATATCCAGTGGTGTGGCATGCAAAACAATGGCTCCCCAAAGAGGGCCATATTCTAATCCCAGAAATTGTGAATATGTTACTTTACATGGTACAAGAAACTTTGCAGATGTGATTAAGTTAAAGCCTTTGAAATAGGAATATTCTCCACAATTATTTGGGTGGGTCCAATGTGATCACAACTGTCCTTAAAAGTCGAAGAGGGAGGTGGAGAAACAGGTCTTTCTTTCTTTCTATTCTCTTTCTTTCTTAAAAGTCAAAAAGGCAGGTGGAGAAACGGACTTTTCCTTTGTTCTTCTCTTTCTTTCTTCTTTCTTTTGTCTTTTTTCTCCCTCTCTTTCTCTCTTTCTTTCTTAGATGTGACACAGAGAGTTGGATCAGAGGGTAACTTTATGACTGTCTTTCAAGAAGAAGGCAGGGGCCAGGTGCAGTGACTCATGCCTGTAATCCTAGCACTTTGGGAGGCCGAGATGGGTGGATTACCTGAGGTCAGGAATTCGAGACCAGCCTGGGCAACATGGTGAAACCTCGTCTTTACTAAAAATACAAAATTACCTGGGCATGGTGGCGGGCACCTTAATCCCAGCTACTCGGGAAGCTGAGGCAGGAGAATCGCTTGAACCCAGGAGGCAGAGGTTGGTGTGGGCCACGATTGCACCATTGCACTCAAGCCTAGGTGAAAAGAGTGAGACTCTGTCTCAAAAAGAAAAAAAAAAAAAGAAGGAGAGGCAGGCAGTCTCAAGCCAAAGAATGTGGGTGGTCTTTAAAAGATGAAAAGGCAAGAAAGCAATTCCTTCTTAAAGCCCTCCAAAAGTATTGCAGCCTAGCCAACACCTTGATGTTAGCCCAATAAGATGCCTGTTGGACGGCTGAGGTCCAGAACAGTAAGATTATAAATTTGTCTTAAGTCACTAAATTTGCAGCCATATGATATGGTGGTGATAGAGAATTAATGTGGATGGGATTAACAGCCGATTAGATGCCACAGAAGAAAATATTTGTGAACCTGAAGACATGGCAATAGAAACTACTCAAAACACAGAGAAAATATACTAAAATACACAACCTCAGAAAATTGTGTGACAACTTCAAGTGATTGAATGCACATGTATTCAGAGTCTCTGAAACAGAGGAGAGATAATGTGAACATAAAAATACATTTGAAAAACTAATGACCAAATATTCTAAAAGGTTAATGAAGAGTATAAACTCAAAGATACAAGAAGCTCAATGAACCTCAAAGACAGGAAGCATAAGAAAATTAGATTGAAGGGCATCATGAAAAATTACAATCAGTGATGAAAAGAAAAGTTTTTTGATGAAAACAAGTAAGAGATGGAATTATATATTTCAGTATTTTAAGAAAAAAATGTAAAGCTAGAATTATATGTCCATTGAAATGCTTTTCAAACACAAAGTTTGAATATTTTTTCAGACATATAAGAATTGAAAAATCTATTACTAGATGACCCACACTACAAACCTCAATCTGCACAAAGGAATTACGTTCACTGAAAATGCTAAATATGTAAATAAGTTTAATACTTTTCCCTATTTTTAATCCATTTAATATATAATTGAGTGCTTAAAACAAAAATAGATACATGTGAGATACATGACATATGTAGGAATCAAATGAATTACAATTTCATAAGCACTAGGAAGGAACAAATATAGTTTACCCTTATAAGGTTACTATATATAAAAGGTGGTATAATATTCTTAAAGTCAAATTGGCAATAAACTAAGGCTGTATACTGTAATGACTAAAAAATGCTACAAAAGGCTATAGCTGATAAGCCAATAAAGGAGATAAAATGAAATCATAATCGATTAATCCAAAAAAAAGAAAAGAATAGAGGGAAAAAAGAATAAATGAGGCAAGTAGAAAACAAATAGCAAGATTAGAGCCAACGTGATTAATAAACATTAAATATATTTAGTTCATTTATAATATTATATTTATTTACTAATATCATTTATAATGATATTTATTTATGTATTTACTAAGCGTATTATAATAGCATGAAAGAGATGCTCTAATTTCCAAATAATTTTAAATAATTTGAATTTACCATGTTAGCCATAATAGATCATTCATCAATTAAATCATTCTCATCATATTAATGGAAGGTGTAATCATTTCCACTCTTCAGAGTTATATGATGAAGAGTTAATGATTTTACAAATATGCAAGATGAAATGATGAAAGGAAGATAGAGACAACCTTTCAATTTTATAACAAATTGAATGAAATCAATCATTCATATTAAATTAAATACATATATATTTAAGCACACTTACATGTCCAACTGCCGACCTGACATCTCAACTTATATATCTCACCATTGCCTGAAACTTCATATCTCTAAAATGGAATCAAAATCCTCTCTCAACATTTACTTATCTTCCTTGTTTCTTTGTATTTCAAATTATTCCTAATAGTGTATCTTATAATATTTTGTGCCTGCAAAAGCCTTACCAGTTATTAACCAGAAAGTGAGTTAAGCATGTTCTGAAAATAACAAAAAATTGGGTCAAACTGTTCATCGAGAGTACCAAGTTTATTGATCACTTAGTACTTTTCTTTGTTTATAATCTTACTAAACTATGGTAACCACAGTTACCACAGTTATCATGGTTTGGGGATATAAACCAAAAATGCCACATAGCTTCAGCAGGTCACATTCCATAAATTATAACCTCTTCATTTAGAGCTACAATAACTTTTCAAGACATAGATGGTAAAATAAGATATAAAGAGAATCAATAAAAAAGTTAAAAAGCAGCGGACAATGTTAAAGTATAGAGGTTTTATTATTTATTATTTTTCCTTTTGCATGTTTCTTTGTTTATGCAGTGTTAAGTTGTCTTCAGTTTAAAATAATGGGTTATAAGGTAGTATTGGCACACCTCATGGTAGCCTCCAATGAAAAAATATACAATGAATACACAAAACATAAAAAGCAAGAAACTAAATCATATAACCAGAAAAAAAAATCACCTTCACTGAAAGGAAGATGGGAAGGAAGGAAGGAAAGAAGGAAGAAAAGACCACAAACAACCAGAAAACAAATAACAAAATGGCAGGAGGAAGTCCTTGTTTATCAATAACATTGATAACAACATTGAAGGTAAATGGACTAAATTATCCAATCAAAAGACATTGACTGGCTGAATGGATAAAAATAGGAAGACCCATTAATCTGTTGCCTACAAAAAACACACTTTACCTATAAAAATTAACATAGACTAAAAATAAAGGGATGGAAAAACATATTCTATGCCAATGGAAACCAAAAAAGAATAGAGTTAGCTATATTTATATTAGACGAAATAGATTTCAAGACAAAAACTGTAAGAAGAGATTAAGAAGTTCATCATATAGTGATAAAGGGATCAATGAAGGAAGAAGATACAAGGATTATAAGTATATATGCACCCAACACTGGAGCATCAAGATATATAAAGCAAATATTGTTAGAGTTAAAGAGAGAGACAGACTCCAATACAATAATAGCTGAAGACTTCAATACCCCATTTTCTATGTTCAACAGATTTCCTAAATAGAAAATCAACAAAGAAACATCAGACTTAAACTGCACTACAGAACAAAGCAACCTAATAGATATTCACAGAACATTTCATCCAACAACTGCAGAATACACAATTTTCTCCTCAGTACATGGATGACTTCCAAGGACAGAGTATATGTTAGATCACAAATATTCAAAAAATTTAAATAATATCAAGCATCTTCCCAGACCACAAAGGAATAAAACTAAAAGTCAAAACAAGATAAATTTTGGAAAGCATAGAAACACGTAAAAATTAAACAATATGCTCCTGAATAAATTAAGAAGGAAACTGAAAATTTTCTTAAAGCAAATGAAAATGGAAACATAATATACAAAAATCTATGGGATACAGGAAAAGCAGTAATAAGAGACAAATTTATAGCTATAAGTGCCTACATTAATAAACAAGAAAAACTTCAAATAAATAAATAATGATGCATCTTCAATAACTAGAAAAGCAAGGGCAAATCAAACCAAAAAATACTAGAAGAAAAGAAAAAAATAAAGATTAGGGCAGAAATAAATGAACTTGAAATTAAGAAAAACAATACAAGAGATCAATTAAACAAAAGTTGGTTTTTCATAATGACAAAACAAAAATCACAAATTTTTAGCCAGGCTAACTAAGAAAAAAAGAAAGAAGATCCAAATAAACAAAATCAGGGATGAAAAAGGAGACATTGCAACTGATCCTGCAGAAATTCAAAGGATCCTTAGTGACCACTATGAATGACTATATTTCAGTAAGTTGGAAAATATAGAAGAAATTAATAGTTCCTAGACACATACAATCTACCAAGGTTGAACCACGAAGAAATGCAAAATCTGAACAGACTAATAACAAATAATAAGACTGATGTATAATAAAATGTCTTCCATTAAAGAAAAGCCCAGGACTTAATGGTTTCATTGCTGAATTCTGCCAAACATTTAAAGAAGAACTAATAACTCTCCTACTCAAACTGTTCTGAAAAGTAGAGAAACAGGGACTACTTCCAAACCCATTCTACAAAACCAGTATTACCCTGATACCCAAACCACTTAAAGATGCATGAAGAAACAGAAAACCACAGGCCAATATCACTGATAAGTGTTGATGCAAAAATCCTCAACAAAATACCAGCAAACCGAATTCAACAATATATTTAAAAGATCAGAAATAGAAAAACCAATCCTAAAATTTATATGAAATCACAAAAGATCCAGAATAACCAAAACCATCCTGAGCAAAAAGAATGAAACTGGAGGAATCATATTACCTAACTTCAAATTGTACTGCAGAGTGATAGTGATCAAAACAGTGTGGTACTGGCATTTAAAAAGACACATAAACCAATGGAATGGAATAGAGAATCCAGAAACAAATCCACCCACCTACAGTGACATCATTTTTGACAAATGTGCCAAGAACATAATTTGGGGAAAAGACAGTCTCTTCAATAAACAGTGCTGGGAAAACTGGGTGTCCATATGCAGAAGAATGAAACTTGACCCTTATCTTTCACCTTATACAAAAATCAAAATGGACTATAGACTTAAATCTAAGATTTCAAACTACAAAACGACTATAAGAAAAGACTGGGGAAACTCTCCAGGACATTGGTCTAGGCAAAAATTTATTGAGTCATACGCCACAAGCATAGGCAACTAACAAATGCTGATGGGGATGCGAAGAAAAGGGAACTCTTGTATACTGTTGATAAGAATATAAATTAGTACAACCACTCTGGAAAACAGTTTGGAGGTTGCTCAAACAACTAAAAATGGAGCTACCATCCAACCCAGCAATCCCATTGCTGGGTATGTATCCAAAAGAAAGGAAATCAGTATATCAAAGAGATATCTGCACTCCCACACTTGTTGCAGCACTGTTCACAATAGCCAAGATTTGGAAGCCACTTAAGTGTTCATCAACAGATGAATGGATAAAGAAAATGCAGTACTATAACTCTGTTATTGTTCCTCCGCTGTCCAGAAATCTACAATGGCTCTCTACATGTTAGAATAAAACCTGTAATCTTTGGCTTGGATTTCAAGTCCTCTATGTTTTCCCACTTTCCTCACCTCATCTTCCTTTTTACAGCCTTATCTCACTCGTCTAGTGACATCTCACATCCAGATAGTGAACTACTCTGTCCTTCAACACGTTTCCATCTTTCAACCTCTGCCTTTGCAAAAAAATATAGTCATTATCCTACCTTGTTTGTCTCCATGAACTCTTTTACATCTTTTAACATAGTGGCCTTCAAATGGTTTTTATTTTGTTTTACTGAGACTCACTGTAAGAAATATATTTTACATTGTAACCCAACACACATACACAGAAATTAAAAAAAAACAGAATTTTCATTAAAGCACATCCTTGCCCCCCAAAAAATGCAGTACTTATACACAATTGGGGTACTATCCAGCTATAAAAGAGAATGAGGTCCTGCCGTTTACAACAACATGGATGGAATTGGGGGACATTATGTTAAGTGAAATAAGCCAGGCATGGAAAGACAAATATCACATGTTCTCACTTATTTGTAGAATCTAAAAATCAAAAGAATTGAATACATGAAGATAGGGAGTGGAATGATGGTTATCAGAGGCTGGGAATGATAGTGATGGGTTGGGGGCAGACAGACGTAAATGGTTAATAAGTACAAAAAAAATTGTTAGAAAGAATGAATAAGGCCGGGCGCTGTGGCTCACGCCTGTAATCCCAGCACTTTGGGAGGCCGAGGCGGGAGGATCACGAGGTCAGGAGGTCTAGACCAGCCTGACCAACACGGTGAAACCCTGTCTCTACTAAAAACACAAAAATTAGCCAGGCATGGTAGCGGGCGCCTATAATCCCAGCTACTCAGGAGGCTGAGGCAGGAGAATCGCTTAAACCCGGGAGGCAGATGTTGCAGTGAGCCGAGATCGCGCTGCTGCACTCCAGCCTGGGCGACAGAGCAAGGCTCCGTCTCAAAAAAAAAAAAAAAAAAAAAAAAAAAGAATGAATGAGACCCGGTACTTGCGAGCCAAACAGTGGGACTTTAGTTAATAATAATTTAATTGTACATTTAAAAATAACTAAAATAGTGTAATTGGATTGTTTGTAACACAAAGGATAAATGCTT